>NC_000023.11:33490699-33641055 GCF_000001405.40 Homo sapiens | reverse complement strand
CAGAAGCTCTTTAGTTTAGTTATATCCCATTTGTCAGTTTTGGCTTTGGTTGCCATTGCTTTTGGTGTTTTAGACATGAAGTCCTTGCCCATGCCTATGTCCTGAATGGTATTGCCTAGGTTTTCTTCTAGGGTTTTTATGACTTTAGGTCTAACATTTAAGTCTTTGATCCATCTTGAATTAGTTTTTGTATAAGTGTAAGGGAGGGATCCAGTTTCAGCTTTCTACATATGGCTAGCCAGTTTTCCCAGCACCATTTGTTAAATAGGGAATCCTTTCCCCATTTCTTGTTTTTGTCAGATTTGTCAAAGATTGGATGGTTGTAGGTGTGTAGTATTATTTCTGAGGGCTCTGTTCTGTTCCATTGGTCTATATCTCTGTTTTGGTACCAGTACCATGCTGTTTTGGTTACTGTAGCCTTGTAGTATAGTTTGAAGTCAGGTAGCGTGATGCCTCCAGCTTTGTTCTTTTGGCCTAGGATTGTCTTGGCAATGCGGGCTCTTTTTTAGTTCCATATGAACTTTAAAGTAGTTTTTTCCAATTCTGTGAAGAAAGTCATTGGTAGCTTGATGGGGATGGCATTGAATCTATAAATTACCTTGGGCAGTACGGCCATTTTCACAATATTAATTCTTCCTATCCATGAGCATGGGATGTTGTTCCATTTGTTTGTATCCTCTTTTATTTTGTTGAGCAGTGGTTTGTAGTTCTCCTTGAAGAGGTCCTTCACATCCCTTGTAAGTTGGATTCCTAGGTATTTTATTCTCTTTGAAGCAATTGTGAATGGGAGTTCACTCATGATTTGGTTCTCTGTTTGTCTGTTATTGGTGTATAAGAATGCTTGTGATTTTTGCACATTGATTTTGTATCCTGAGACTTTGCTGAAGTTGCTTATCACTTTAAGGAGATTTTGGGCTGAGACGATGGGGTTTTCTAGATATACAATCATGTCATCTGCAAACAGGGACAATTTGGCTTCCTTTTTTCCTAATTGAAAACCCTTTACTTCTTTCTCCTGCCTGAATGCCCTGGCCAGAACTTCCAACACTATGTTGAATAGGAGTGGTGAGAGAGGGCATCCCTGCTAGAACTAGAAATACCATTTGACCCAGCAATCCCATTACTGGCTATATACCCAAAGGATTATAAATCATGCTGCTATAAAGACATATGCACATGTATGTTTTTTGTGGCACTATTTGCAATAGCAAAGACTTGGAACCAACCCAAATGTCCATCAATGATAGACTGGATGAAGAAAATGTGGCACATATACACCACGGAATACTATGCAGCCATAAAAAAGGATGAGTTAATGTCCTTTGTAGGGACATGGAGCTGGAAACTATCATTCTCAGCAAACTATCACGAGGACAAAAAACAAACACTGCATGTTCTCACTCATAGGTGGGAATTGAACAATGAGAACACTTGGACACAGGAAGGGGAACATCACACATGGGGCCTGTCGTGGGGTGGGGATGGGGGGAGGGATAGCATTAGGAGATATACCTAATGTAAATGACGAGTTAATGGGTGCAGCACACCAACATGGCACAGGTATACATATGTAACAAACCTGCATGTTGTGCACATGTACCCTAGAACTTAAAGTATATATAAAAAAAGAATTATCTGTTCATGTTCCTTGTTTTCTACATGGAATACTTTTTAACTTATTCATACAGGATCTTACATAATAAGATCATTATGGCTTTCACTCTTATATGTTTCTTTTTGAATATGGTACATTTGTTTTTATTTTTCGATGCATAAAAATTTTACATAGTAAAAAAATCTGTTAGTCTTTTGTGAATTTCCCTTTGGTGTCATTTTCATGAAAGCTTTCTCTACTGCAAGATTTGAAAAACTGATTTAATCTTTAATATCTTAATGTATTTATTATCGATATTAAAATCTTTAATTAGCATGTACTTTATTTCATTATGTGGTTTAATGTAAGTTTTTTCTTAAAATGGCTAATGTTTATTAAACAATGTCTATGTTTCCCAGCGATATGAAACACATTTATCATGTACTAATGCTACTCTATCTTGTTCGCCTAAATAAATGTAACTTGTCATTCAAAAAGGAATCCTTTTACTTACTTTTTTATTCACTTAGTAAAATTACAGACTGATTTATCTCAAGTATTGTAGTGGGACTATAGGATTTACCAGGAAAGGAAGAAGGTGATTAAAATGGAGTGTATTACTGCTTAGTATACTGGAGACACAAATTAATTTGAAATAATGAATATTATTGCTGTGACAGAGGCAAGCATGGATGACAATCATAAAGGCAGTACTTAAAGAGTCCCCATTACCCAGATTTGATCATTACACATTGTATGCCTGTATACAAATATCACACACACTCCATAAATGTGTACAAAACTAATATGTACCCATAAAATTTTAAAAAGAAATTTTTTTTTTTGAGACGGAGTCTGGCTCTGTCGGCCAGGCTGGAGTGCAGTGGTGCGATCTCAGCTCACTGCAAGCTCCGCCTTCCGGGTTCACGCCATTCTCCTGCCTCAGCCTCCCAAATAGCTGGGACTGCAGGCGCCCGCCACTACGCCCGGCTAATTTTTTGTATTTTTAGTAGAGACGGGGTTTCACCTTGTTAGCCAGGATGGTCTCGATCTCCTGACCTTGTGATCCACCCGCCTCGGCCTCCCAAAGTGCTGGGATTACAGGCGTGAGCCACTGCACCCGGCCAAGAAAATTTTAAAATGAATTCTGAAAGGACTTACCTAGGACATACAAATAAGAGTTCTTTAACTGAAGGGCAAGGGAAATGGGATTCCTGGAAGTAAGAACATCTTATGTAAAGCACTAATGTTTGAAATATTACTTTGTACTTATGAAGCTGTAAACAATTAGGTATATCTGGAGTAACATGTGAATGGGTATGGCGTGTTTAGGGAATTTATTGTGTATGTGGCAGAATGCGACAGTATAGTGAAAAAGTTTGCTAAACGTTTCATCCTGAGATTATCAGGCATGCATTAGATTTTTTTTCAAAATACTTATAACCTTTTAGAAAGTTTAATTTGGCAGCAAAACTTGAATAATATCTATATATCATATATATACATGTAAGTGCTGCACATACGGAAATATTCTTACTGTCTCTGTTTCTTCCTCGCTTTCTTTTTTATTTTCTTCCCTTTCTATGCAAAAGTATATATTGCATGTATATGTCAGGCACTGGCCTAGCTTTTTTTGGGATACAGCAGCAACCAAAAAAGAAAAAGAAAATCTATGTTTTTATGAAGCTTATATTCAAATGGAGCAAGACAAACACTTGCCAAATAAAATAGATGATATCTCACATATTGATAAACGCTATAGAGGAAAACAAAGTAGGAAAGGGAATGGAGGTTTCAGGGATAATAAGGGTAATATAATTAAAAACATCTGGCTCAGGGAAAGTTTATTCAGATATTGACTTTTGAGCAAACACCTGAAAGCAGTGAAGGAGGGAATTGTGTAGAAATTAAAGGGAAGAGCTCTTGATGTAGACAGATCACCCAGAGAAAGGACTCTAAGGTAGAAGCAAGCTTGTTGGGTTCAAGGAGCAGCAGGAAAGTCCACATGTTTTTAAAAGAGTGAGGCAAGGAGAAAGGAAAAGGGATAATATCAAGAAGTAATCAGAGTCCAGGTGATTTAGGGCCTTAGATAGACATTTCAAAATTTTTGGCTTTTATTCTGATTGAATGGAGAAAGCATTGGAGGGTTTTGAGTTTAGGAGTGATATGATGGAGCTTTACATTTTTTAAAAATAACCCTGAATATTGTGTTGAGAAAAAAATAAGAAGGAACAAGTAGAAACAGGAAGACCAGTTAGGAGGGCTATTTTAGAAATTAGGTAATCACTGATGGTTGTTTAAAAGAAGATAATTACAGTCGATCTGGGAAAGAAGGTGTTTTCAGAGCCTGGATATAATTTTGTGTAGTATATAAAGAGTTTGTAATGGCTGAATAAAACCTTTCTTATGGAATTAAGTGCTTGCACTTTAAAGCATTACTTTGGCATTTGGGTAGCTTTTTTGCTGATTTTCTAGGTTTATGAGTATGTTCAAAATTGTTTAGAATGCCAGAGGTCTTCCCACTAAATGAGTCGATATAATAAATTGAGCCCTAATAAAATAGTTGCTATTTTCAGAAAAACTGGGATGTTTGAACTTATATTTACCTGAAGAAAGTACCAAGCTGTAAGCACCTTATATTTCATAAAAGATTCAACAACTAATTTCTAAATCTTCATAAGGTAGAGTGCTCTAATTGAAAGACTGAACTCATATGGAGTTGTTCCATTTGGTGTTTTAATTTCTGGGTGGAAAGTGGTGAAGATCAATAAGTTTTTATGACAGAAAACCACTCAAGATCCAATTAAGACCATTTAGTTTCAGTGAGACCCAATACCTTGCCTCTAATTCTCCAATTATACAAATGTACTATTGATCTCTGAAGCAGGCCTGTCTCAACACTGTTTCTTATACTTTCTTAAAAGGCCCTCCCTGAAGAGGTCCTTCACACCCCTTGTAAGTTGTGTTCCTAGGTATTTTATTCTCTTTGTAGCAATTGTGAATGGGAGTTCACTCATGATATGGTTCTCTGTTTGTCTGTTATTGGTGTGTAGGAATGCTTGTGATTTTTGCACGTTGATTTTGTATCCTGAGACTTTGATGAAGTTGCTTATCACCTTAAGGAGATTTGGGGCTGAGACGATGGGGTTTTCTAAATATACAATCATGTCATCTGCAAACAGAGACAGTTTGACTTCCTTTCTTCCTATTCGAATATGCTTTATTTCTTTCCCTTGTCTGATTGCCCTGGCCAGAACTTTCAATACTATGTTGAATAGGAGTGGTGAGAGAGGGCATCCTTGTCTTGTACCATTTTTCAGAGGGAATGCTTCCAGCTTTTGTCCATTCAGTATGATATTGGCTGTGGGTTTGTCATAAGTAGCTCTTATTATTTTGAGATACATTCCATCAATACCTAGTTTATTGGGAGTTTTTAGCATGAAGCAGTGTTGAATTTTATCGAAGGCCTTTTCTGCATCTATTGAGATAATCATGTGGTTTTTGTCATTGGTTCTGTTTATGTGATGGATTACGTTTATTGATTTGCATATGTTGAAGAGAGGACACAAACAATTGGAAAAACATTCCATGCTTATGGATAGGAAGAATCAATATCGTGAAAATAGCCATACTGCCCAAAGTAATTTATAGATTCAATGCTGTCTCCATCAAGATACCATTTACTTTCTTCATAGAATTAGAAAAAACTACTTTAAATTTCATATGCAACTAAAAAAGTGCCCGGATAGCCAAGACAATCCTGCGTAAAAAGAACAAAGCTGGAGGCATCATGCTTCCTCACTTCAAACAATACTACAAGGCTACAGTAACCAAAACAGCACGGTACTGGTACCAAAACAAAGATATAGACCAATGGAACAGAACTGAGGCCTCAGAAATAATGCCATCCATCTACAACCATCTGATCTTTGACAAACCTGACAAAAACAAGCAATGGGGAAAGGATTCCCTTTTTAATAAATGGTGTTGGGAAAACTGGCTAGCCATATGCAGAAAACTGAAACTGGACCCTTTCCTTACACCTTATAAAAAGTTAACTCAAGATAGATTAAAGACTTAAACATAAGACCTAAAACCATAAAAACCCCAGAAGGAAGCCTAGGCAATACCATTCAGGACATAGGCATGGGCAAAGACTTCATGGCTAAAACACCAAAAGCAATGGCAACAAAAGCCAAAGTTGACCAATGGGATCTAATTAAACTAAAGAGCTTCTGCACAGCAAAATAAACTATCATCAGGCAACCTACAGAATGGGGGAAAGTTTTTTGCAATCTATCCATCTGACAAAGGGCTAATATCCAGAATCTACAAGGAACTTAAATAAATTTACAAGAAAAACACAACCCCATCAAAAAGTGGGTGAAGGATAAGAACAGACACTTCTCAAAAAAAAGACATTTATACAGCCAACAAACATGAAAAAAAGCTCATCACTGGTCATTAGAGAAATGCAAATCAAAACCACAATGGGATATCATCTCATGCCAGTTAGAATGGCAATCTTTAAAAAGTCAGGAAACAACAGGTGCTGGAGAGGATGTGGAGAAATAGGAACGCTTTTACACTGTTGGTGGGAGTGTAAATTAGTTCAACCATTGTGGAAGACAGTGTGGCTATTCCTCAAGGATCTAGAACCAGAAATACCATTTGGCCCAGCAATTCAGCAATTCCATTACTGTGTATATACCCAAAGGATTATAAATCATTCTATAGAGACAAATGCACACGTATGTTTAATGCAGCACTATTCACAATAGCAAAGACTTGGAACCAACCCAAACGTCCATCAATGATAGACTGGATCAAGAAAATGTGGCACATATACACCATGGAAAACTATGCAGCCATAAAAAGGATGAGTTTTTTTTTTTTTTTTTTTGAGGTGGAGTTTGGCTCTTGTAACCCAGGCCAGAGTGCAATGGTGCGATCTCGGCTCACTGCAACTTCAGCCTCCCAGGTTCAAGTGATTCTCTTACCTCAGCCTCCAGAGTAGCTGGGATTACAGGCATGCACCACCACACCCAGCTAATGTTGGCCAGGCTGATCTCGAATTCCTGGCCTCAAGTGATCCACCTGCCTTGACCTTCCAAAGGGCTGGGATTATAGGCATGAGCCACCGCACTGGCCTACAGAGCATTTCAAAGCCAATGTTTCTTTCTTTTTTTTTTTTTTTTTTTTTTTGATTTTCTGACGATATCCGTCTAATGAGGGTAGGCTGTTGAAGTCCTCCACTATAATTGTATTGGAGTCTATCTCTTCCTTTTGATTTGATATATTTGCTTTATATATCTGGGTGCTTCAGTATTGAGTGTATACATATTTAGAATTGTTCTATCTTATATAATTGATCTCATTATTCAGTCATTCTATATATTTTAACTGGGAAATTTAATTTATTTACATTCAAGGTTATTATTGATAGGTGACGACATATACCTCTCATTATATTAACTGTTTTTGTTTGCTTTGTATATCTTTTGTTCCTTTCTCTCTTATCGGTTATCATTGTGATTTTGGTGGTTTTCTGTAGTGGTGACATTTGACTCTTATTTTGCTCATTTGTGTGTTTACCAGTAAGTTTTATATTCTCACGTTTTTTGTTTGTTTGTTTGTTTGTTTTATGGTATATACTGTTCTATTGCTTCTAGGTTTAGCACTCCCATTGAGCATTTCTTGTAGTGTTGGTTCAGTGGCAATGAATTCCTTCAGCTTTTGCTTCTCTGGGAAATACTTTATTTCTCCTTCATTTATGAAGGATAACTTTGCAGATTATAGAGTATTCTTGGCTGGCAGATTTTTGTTTTTCTTTCAACACTTTGAATATATCATCCCATTTTCTCCTGGCCTGTAAGGTCTCTGCTGAGAAGTACTATGTAAATCTGATGGTAAACCCTTATATATGTGACTAGGTGCTTTTCTCTTGCTACTAAGATAATTCTCTTAGAATTCTCTTTGTCTTTGACTTTTGACGGGTTGATTATAACATGTCATGGAGAAGATTTTGTTGAATTGAATCTATTTGGGGATTTATTTGCTTCCTGTATCTTAATGTCTAAATCTCTTGATAGTCTTGGGAAGTATTTAGCTATTATTTTGTCAAACAGATTTTCTATGTCATTGACCTTCTCTTACCTTCCAGAATACACAAAATTTGATTTTTGGTCACTGTATGGTATTCTACATATCATGTAGACTCTCTTCATTCTTTTTTATTCTGTTACTTTTTCTGGCTGACTGGGTTATTTTGAAAGACATGTCTTCAGGTTCTGAAATTCCTTTTTCTGCTTGATATAGACAGTTGTTAAAGTTCTAGATTATATTTTTTATTTCATTCACTGAATTCCATTACTGTATTTCTGTTTCTTTTTATGATATCAGTCTCCTTGGTGAATTTCTCATTCACATCCTGAATTATTTTTCTGATTTTTCTATTGTTTATATACATTATTTTGTATCTCACTGAATGTCCTTTTTTCATTTATTTTTAATTTTTGCTGGTACATAGTGTATATATTTATGAGGTACATGAGATGTTTTAATACAGGCATGCAATGTATAATAATCACATCATGAAAAATGGGGTATCCATACCCTCAAGCATTTATTCTTTGTGTTACAAACAATCCAATTATACTTCTATTTATTTTTAAATGTAAAACTAAACTATTGACTATAGCTGCCTTGTTGTGCTATCAAACACTAGGTCTTATTTATTCTTCCTAAATAAATTTTTGTACCCTTTAACCATCCCCACCTCACCCCCACCACTCACCCCCACTACCCTTCCCATACTTTGGTAACAATTCTTCTACTGTCTATGTCCATGAGTTCAATTGTTTGGATTTTTAGGCCCCATAAATCAGTGAGAACACGTGATATTTGTCTTCCTGTGCCTTGCTTATTTCACTGAACATAATGCCCTGTAGTTCCATTCATGTCGTTGCAAATTACAGGATCTCATTCTTCTTCATGGATTAATAGTACTCCGTTGTGTATAATTGCCACTTTTTTTAATCCATTCATCTGTTGATGGACACTTAGGTTACTTCCAAATCTTGGCTATTGTGACTAGTGCTGCAAGAAACGTAGAAGTGCAGACATCTCTTTGATACACTGATTTTCATCATTTTAGGGTATATATCCAGCAGTGGGATTTCTGGATCACATAATAGCTCTATTTTTAGTTTTTTTAGTAACTCACTAAACATCTTTAATATCATTTTGATTTTCAGGAATTTCATTGATTCCTTTTTCATTGGAATCTGTTGCTAGAGAATTATTGTGTTTATTGGAGGTGTTACTTTCCATCATTTTTCATGTTTCTTGCATTCTTACACTGATATCTGCACATCTGGTACTATAGTCACTTCTTCCAATTTTGGGGGGTTGACTTCATAGGGGAAGAGTTTTTACTGAAGATATATCTATGTTGTCGGTTGGGTAGGTAGGGCACTTTGGCTTTGATCGTGGGTGCATGCAGTAATGTAGTCTTCATGTGATTTCTTTGGCTATGAACAATGTCAGTGTTGTCCATAATTTCCTAATGGCTTAGTGTGTGGTTGTTATTGAAGGCTATGGTGAGGCTTTGTTGGGGACAGGGTTGTCAGGCGGGGCATTCCTTGGGCCCCCATAGTGGCAGCCATAGGCTATGTGGGTGAATGTGTCCTCGGGCTCCTGAGCAGCATGTGTGGCATGGACGGTTGCAATAATGGTGGTGGGGCAATTCTTGGTTTCCCAGGTGGCATGTGCTTATGTTAGTGATGGGTGTGATGGGTTGTGTCATTTCTGAGACCCCCACTTGGAACATTCAGGTGCGTGCCAGCAGTTGTGGTGGCAGGCTGGGCAGGCCTTACCTGCTGGCCCTGGAAGAAGTACAGAGATGCCAATTGTGGTGCACTGGGCAAGGCAATCCCCAGTCCTCTGGTCAACATGCTTGGGCCCAGCAGCAGATTTCCTGGGCATGTTGTTAGACCCCTGGTAGTGTGCATGCAGAGCCAGTGTGACAGAGTGGGGTGGTTCCCATGTCCTCAGTTGCTGTGCCTCAGGCATTGAGGGAAGCAGTCCCATTTGGGGATGGCCTATCCTCAGGCCCCCCTGATGTTGTACACAGGCATAAACTGTGGTAAATAGGGCAGGGCCTCTGGACAGCACCCTTGGGTGCTGGTGGAGGCAGGCATTCTTGGACTATTATTAGGTTCTCAGGTGGTTTGTGTTTGCACCTGGGGTGGCTTACAGGGTGGGGAAACCCCCATCCCCCTAGCAGCATTATCTAGCACTGGGCAGGAGGGTGAGCTGTAGCAGACTAGATGGGCTTGTTTTCGACCACCCCAGTGATGTGCATCAGGTCAGGCTATGATGGGCAGGGCGTGGCAATCCCCAGGCTGCTTGTGGTGTGCTTGGGTGGCAGCAGCAACGTCAGTGGGTGAAGAGAGATTCTATTTTCAGAGTGCCTGCAAGTATGCTGTGGCCCTGCTCCTCGGGGCACAGAAGGCAGCCACCTCAGCAGGCAGCTCTCAGATTCAGGGGAACATGTACTTTGTCCTCCAGCTGCAGCAATGAGAGCACTGTGGCCCTGCAGCTAGTGGAAGTGAGGTTGCTGTCAGTCGTATCAGCCCCAGGCAGGTGCGTTCTAGGCTGTGGGAAAATGTGCTTTGACTAACTTTATCCTGGGACACCTCCCTAGTTTGCTGTACTGTCCATGTGTGCTAGAATGCTGGGGTTTCTGTTGCTGTGCTGGGTCCAACTAGCCTTGTGCAGCTCTAGCCGTCCAGTTGGAAGTAGAGGGATGTGAATGGGGTTCCAGGGATGTGGAAATGCTGGGGCTGTTGAGCCCTAGGGTGGGATGCAGTCTGATGGAGGCTGGGCACTCAAAATGGTGCCATTCTGTAGCTACTTGGGTCTCCGCGGATCCATGGGACCCAATGTGAGTTCCCTCTTAGAGGTAATGCTGTCATGCAGACTCCAGGCATTGTCCTATACCAGTCTCAGGGCCTGTGAGGGTTGAGGGACTCTTCCATGACTAGGATTGCAGGAGTCCTTGGTGAGAATGTGAACCATGGAGGTCTCTCACCCTTTTCTTGCACTGGGGAGCATTTCAGGGCTTCCAGCTGATTCGCACCAGTTTGGCTGTCTCACCTCCAGGTCCTCCTTTGCCTCAGGTGTTTTCTATCATTGCCCTGAGAAATTCCAGCATTCTTTCTTCGGTGTTCTATATGAGGTATGGTTATGTACTCACTATTTTGCTTATTATTTGTGGCGAAGTGAATATTCAGTGCCTCTACTCAGCCATTTTGAAGCCCTTCTCATAACACTTTCAAAAATACCTCTCGGAAGAAGATGGGGTTTCCTCATTTCCATAAACCTTTAATCATTCAGTAAAATTAGTAGATAGAGAAGGCATACACAGTGCTTCCTCATGGTGTTTGGTTGCTTGTAGTGGTTTGGAATTCTTTTGAAATGTCTTAGGCGGTGTCAAAGTTATAGAGAAATAAAGAATAACTATGAAATTGCAGCTTTTAAAGATTGCTGAATATTTCTAATAGTACTCTTTACACAGCATGTGATTTTTGATTTTTAAATCATGAGACAAGTGCGGGGAACTAAGTTGTAGGAAAAAAATTACCATTTAATGTCACTTACTATATCTAAAAGTGACTGGAGGCTGGGCGTGGTGGCTCAGGCCTGTAATCCCAGAACTTTGGGAGGCCGAGGTGGGCGAATCACCTGAGGTCAGGAGTTCGAGACCAGCCTGGCCAAAATGATGAAACCCCATCTCTACTAAAAATACAAAAAAAAAAAAAATTAGCCAAGCGTGGTGGTGCACTCCTGTAATTCCAGCTACTCGGGAGGATGAGACAGGAGAATCACTTGAACCCAGGAGGCAGAGGTTGCAGTGAGCCGAGATCACGCCATTGCACTCCAGCCTGGGGGACAGAGAAAGACTCCTTCAAAAAAAATAATAATAATAAACTAAAAGTGATTGGAGCTTAATTTGTTGGACTAGGATTTGGAGTAAGGAAGAGGGAGAAAGTGGAATAATAAAACCATGAGTTTTAAAGGCTGTTTTTAAGACACTTCTTCGTTGTTAAAGAAAATGTTTAGCTTTAGTTATTCCTTTATGATAATCACTTAGCGGTATTTTTTCAGTAAATGGTTTGGACAAAGTTTGAGAATAATGTTTAGAAATATGCACAAAAGTCAATGCCCTTCCTTAGTGTCCAAATTGTGGTAGAAATACATGAGAAATCCAGAATAGCTTGTACCTTTATAATTATTCTAGATTAGAATTCATTGGTATTTACTGGGCAAATAATTATTAAGTTTATTATTCATTTATTGAATACTATATATCAGACAATGTACAAAATATTTGGTATGTTATGTTATTTAATCCTTACTGAAATTCCATTAATCCATTTTACTGTTTCATTTTATTTATTAATTCAAGGATTTATTAGCAAAGAAGAAGGAACATAAGTTCAGTGATAAACTAGGATTCAGCCTAATATTTTACTATAGGAAAGATTAGTGATTGCCTTGAAAGAAGAGACTTTGTTAATTTTCTAGTTGTATGGAATTACCATTTTAAAGATAAGAGTCTGTGGATGTTTATTCTCTAAGACTTTGACTTTCAAATTTCCTATTTTGTGTAAAAGTGTTTAGAGACTATCAGAGAAACTTTCAGACTTTTGCAAGTTTTAGTCACTTTAGCTAAGAAAAAATTCAGAAAATTAGGTTGAAAAGCAATTTTAAAATGAGAAAAACATTCTTAGAAAAATAACATATCAATCAAACTTCATTCAACTCTTCCTGATAAGAAAAACCATAGGAATGGCGAAAAATCTATTTATTTTACCTTCTGGTTCTACAAAATACCTATATGCAAACTATATTAACTTAAAAGCATTTTGTGTCGTCCTCTAATTATCTGAATTACAAAAAATAGCTTTCAGGTAAAATAGCTTTTACTACATATATATTTTTTGCAAACATAGATCACCTGTATTTTTTATTTTCATATATATTGAAATATATTTAATTTTCAGCTGGTTAATTACTCATAAAATTTTGCATTCTAAGTACCCACTGAGTAATTGTGGATGAATGTATTATTATAAAATAGTATCTGATTTCCAGTTTTTAATACATGTTGGTCTATTTTTATTTTACAAGAGGGTGAAATTTGGTATAGTGGCAATATAGCTTTCCATTTTCAATGCATTTGATCAAAATCGAATGTAACTTCCTAGCCTCTGGTAACCATTCTTCTACTCTCCAAACTTTGGAAAAAAAAAAAACACCCTTTTTTAGAGCAATAATCACATTTCAGTATATTATTTAAATAGCTTACTTGAAGGTATGCCATATTTGGAAGATATTCCATTTGAATATGAATATTTAAATACTTTATAAAGAAGAGCATCATTATTTTTTAGATAAATAAGGGAAGGGAATGGTCCAGGGTAATACAACCAACTACACTGAAAATACAATGTGCGTCTCCTGATGGTTGGAGCACAGTCACTAAATGAGAGCTTCTAAAATAGTTACCACAAATTTCAAATAGTTACTAGAAGAAGAATATATCAAAAGCATTTCTGGTACAGTATGACTGTCTCTATAGAAAGATAACTTTTACATAAAACAATGTATGTTAACTCATAAGCTGATGGTAATGGACAGAATTCATTTTAAGTACAGTGGTACTCAGTAGTTTTTTTTTTAAACAATTTTGGGATATAATTTACATGTCATAAAATTCATTTTATGTGTACAATTCAATGATTTTTGTACATTTGCCATATTATACAACCATCACCACAATAAAGTTTTTAGAATACTTCCATCCCCACATGAAGATTCCTCGTGCCCATTTGCCATTAATCCCTATTTCCATCTCTAGCTCTAGGCTACTAATCTAAGTGTATCTTTATAGGTATGACATTTTTGAACCTGCCATATAAATTGAATTATGAAACAAGTGGCTTTTTGTGACTGGCATGTGCCATTTAGCATGATATTTTCAAGCTTCATTTATGTTGTAGCATGTATCATTACTTCATCTTGTATTGCCAAATAGTATCTCCTCATATGGATATACCTCGGTTTGCTTATCCATTCACTCGTTGATGTATACTTGGGTGGTTGCAATTCTTGGCCATTTTAAAGAAGGCTGCTGGTACTGGTATTCAAACAAATTTGGTCATGATGGTGACTACAGGTAGAAGCTGAAAGCTATTATTAGCAATACTACTGAAGGTAAAGGAGGAAGAATCACTTTGACAGGCATTAAGAGGTATGGGAATTTAGTAAAGGGTAATGTAAACAGAAAAGAAAAATCTATTAGATTAGTAGTAGCGAATGAAGGTTCTCCTTCCTCTGGGAAAAGTACAAATCAATACAGTATTTTAATAAATATTAGGTACCTAGTTTGTGTCAGTTACTGAGGTAAGAGATTATGTCAATACTGGATGTGGGGAAATTTTTAAACTAGCAAAAAGATAATCTGAATGATCTCTGTAGAAACTATGAGATTTTTCAAGAAGGAAACATTGCTGACAAGTTTAAAAAGAAAAGTTAATGGAAACAAATAATTCATACCTTACATGCAAGATAGAAGCTTCTGATAGTATTATTCCTCTTTCAGAAAATGTGTGCTATTTGGTATTTGAATAAGTATCTACTTGAAATCCTCTAGGGAGACACTTTTACAGGAATAGTTCATGTAGATCCTATAACATGGTTGTCAATTCTGTTATTTACAATAGAGTGCTCCCAAAATGTGCTCTAATGCTTATTTAATTAAGTTATCAGATGGCTTGTATTACCTTGTAGGTTTTGAATATGACTCTTCCTAATATGAAAAAAGCCAAATGACTCTCTCTATAATATAATGGAATAATGTACTTTGATAATTTGATTTTCAGATGTTTCATTAAGCTTTCCTGGTTACTTTGTAGCTAAGCAACAAGGCCTATAGAAAGACACCTGATTTACCTGAGAAAGAGATTTACCTGAGAAAGAGAGCGAGTGAGAGAGCAATATGAATTCTTTCTGTGATTATTATGTTTTGAAATTATATTGAACTTTCTAGAAGAGTCTTCCCCAAAATGTGTCTCAGAACAGTAGGCACATGAAATGCCCATTAAAAAATGACATTTACTTTGGTTAAGTAAATTTAGAAAATACTGCATAGTATATCGCTTCTATTGGTAATTCACAATGTGTAGGAAAGGTTCTGAGAAATATTGCTTGGAGGAGGCATGTTAAACTGGTTATTTCCCACTACTTCCAAAGCTTGTTTACAACAGAACTTTATTTTTACATATACCAATAAATAGACTATGAAAGTAGTAATTTATGAAAGACCTAGGGTAAATGCTGGTCCAGATAAAGAGGTATTAGATGAGCCTAGTACAACCTAAGTGTTACTCTTGTGTCTGTTACTAGACTTATGGAGATAAAAAGAGAAGAAATGGGATAAATCATATTCCTTCTCCCTATCCAGGAACAAATAAGGAGATCCAGGGCCATCTGGATCTCCTGTGTAATCAACTCTAAGTTCAGAAAGCATAGCATTTGGGGTTTGTTTAATTTCCTACATTTGTGTTTACTCATTTAGGAAGGGATTCTCTATCCACCAGAATATTAACCCCAGTGAAGGAATTTTACTTCATGAATTTAAATCCTGACTTCCCTACTTCCTAGTTGTGAGATTTTAAGCAATGTATTCAATCATCAAATCATTTGTTTACCCACCTGTAAAATGAGTATATTAAGGGTACAAATCTCACAGGGTTGTTGAGGAAGTCCAATGATACAATGATTCACTAAGAACAGTGCCTGGCACATACTGAGGACTCAAACATCAATAGCTGTCATTATCATCATGCACTATCACAAAAATCACTACGCATTCTATTTACAAGGAGAACAGTTAATTGTGTCATTTGTTATAGTCATTAAAGTCATGTAAGACTCATCCTGCTTTTAAAGCAAAATAAAACCAAACAAAAAATAAACAAAACTCCTCTAATGCATTCAAATCCAATATCGAGGCATATAAAAACCCTTTTCCTATATAAACCAAGTTGATTTTTCTAATTCCTCTCCTTGTCATACTCGCTCTATACTTTTATTTATGTTTTCATACCTAGATGATGAACCCTTTCAGTACACATCTTAGACATCTTTGAGATAATTAGTAGCATAATACATGGCATGTAAAAAATGATCACCACATATCTTTAATAAATCAACAGAAAAAATATACTGTGTGCTAATCTATTTTGCTTTAAGCTTTTTAACTTGTGTACTTATTGATGGTTGTTGAAATCATAAAATTAACCCTACTTCTATAAGTCTTAGATCTTTTGGAATAAAAGTAGTCTGTATTATTCTGAAATAAGTATAACTATAATACATAAAATGCCAGCTCTAAGCTGGCATCTCATCAGTGTAAGATAATTTAGGGTGAGAATATGGCAAAGTGCCTAGTGATACAAACTGAAAGCTAATGAACCGAAGTGGCTTTCCTGCTGTTTTCTTGAAGTATAAAATTGGAAGCCTTGTACTTTACAGCTTGTGATCACAATGTTCATGGTGATTTTCCTGAGTAAAAGCTATCCATAATTTTTGTGCTATATAATAATAGCAATAAAAGGGATGATAACAATTATGATTTATCATAGCTAAATCTGAATACCTGGCTGGACACTTAAAAGCACAACATTAATGCTGTGAAAGATATTGTATGCATCAGATAGTGAACTAACAATACTTTATTTTCAGGACTAAGCTACTTTCCTTTCGCAGAAAACCTATTAATGTGCTTCCATAGAGACTAAGGTTTATGTTAGAAGACTCGCATAAGAATAATAAGGACTAGATTATAAATAATCCTTCCCATATGCCAACCACTTGTCAAGTGCTTTATATGCATTGTCTTAATTAGTGGCTAAATGCCTTAAAAGGCATTGGCCGGGCACAGTGGCTCACGCCAGTAATCCCAGGACTTTGGGAGGCTAAGGCGGGTGGATCACGAGGTCAGGAGATCGAGACCATCCTGGTTAACATGGTGAAACCCCATCTCTACTAAAAAAATACAAAAAAAAAAAAAATTATCTGGAAGTGCTGGCAAGTGCCTGTAGTCCTAGCTACTCAGGAGGCTGAGGTAGGAGAATGGCATGAACCCGGGAGGTGGAGCTTGCAGTGAGCTGAGATCACGCCACTGCACTCCAGCCTGGGCGACAAAGCAAGACTCTTGTCTCAAAAAAAAAAAAAAAAAAGCAAATATTATCCCATAATTCTGATTAACCCAAGTTTAGAGAAGTAACTCCTCCAGACTCATTCAGATAAGGGACAAAGCTAAAATCCGTACCTATATCTGCTTACACATGTATCAATGATGCACTCTAATATATTTCAATCACTGAAAACAGGCAAAATTCTGACATGGAAAAAATGCTGGAAAGCTTGAGGGGGTGGATATGCCATCTACCATAACGTAATTATTATACATTGCATGCCTGCATCAAAATATCTCATGTACCCCATAAATATATACTCCTACTATGTACCCACAAAACTTAAAAATATTTAAAAAAAAAAAGACAAGGCATAAGGTCTCCACCAGGCCTAGTAATTTACTATCTTTTACATGGCGGAATAGTATGTTAAGTGCTTTGAGCTTCAGTTTCCTTGCCTATAAATTGGAGATACTACAACCTATCATGCATTTCAAATATGGCTACTGGGAAAAAAGTTAACAGTTCCATGTATCTAGCAGTACATTTTATATTATGAAGCATTGTAAAAAATGTTTTTTAATGTCACTCACTGCTTTGATCCTCCTCTCTGCCAAAAATATGACATGAAGTAGTAATGAATAATGTCCATTGAGCAACTAGTATGTTCCTGGCAATGTTATATATGATTTACCCGAAGTAATTCAGTCAGTCATCTCAGCAGCCCATGAAAGTTTATCTATTTAATGATGAGAAAAGTGAGACACTGAGACATAAAGTAACAAACCCTAGGTTACACAGCTAGTAATGACATGATAATAAGTAAGCCAATGCAGTCTAATAGTTAACCAAGATACTGTTCTACTTCGTTAGTTACAGGCATATCTATACTAAAAAAGAAATGAATGTCATCCAATAGGAAGGAATACAAACATGGGTGATAAAAATCGAAATGCATGTGAACTAAGCTTTTTCACTATCATACTGAGATTTTGTCATCTCTCTTCTATTCCTTTTCTTATAACTTCAAACTATCTTGGCCCTCCTTTTTACCCTAAAGAACAATATTATCTACCTGCTGATCTAAACTGGGGAATGTAGAATCTTTTTTGGGTTACTTTTCAGTCACCTTTTACAATCAGGTTGCTACCAAATACTGATGATATTGATGAAATCACTCCCAAATCTAGCCTATTGCTACTGCTGTAGTTGACATCCTCTGTATTTTTTACTTGTAAATTGAAAAATTGTAGTTACATATGTTTGTGGGGTACAATGTGATGTTATGATTTATGAATATAGTATAGAATATTAAATCAAGATAAATAATATATCCATCCCCTCAAATATCTACTCAGGAGACAGTAGAAATGTCTAATTGGATTCCAGCTTCCAGTATCCTCATATCATCTCCTCCATTGTGATTATGGTTACTGTCCTTAAAGCCAAATACAGACTCCACTCCTGCTTAAGCATCTCTGTGGGGTCTGTTGTCTCCAAAACAAAATCCAAACTCTTTATCATGGTATGCAAAGCCTTTGTATTCTAGCCACAAAATTCTCCCAACTCTATCTGGTGGCCGTGAATTTGTCCTCTTTGTTTGAACACGTCACGACTTCACTTGCCTCCAAACATCAATTCTTGTTCTTTCTTCTGCCTTCAATCCCCTTATTTGTCTAACAAGTTCCAATTTCTCTTTTGAAGCCAAACCCAAATGTTGCCACCTCTCAGAGATTTTTATTGTCCTGACCCCTCCTCAGGTAGATAGGTAGATGGTTACACACCACACATTCTTCTAGGGTTTCTTGGTATCATTGATATATATATATATATATACACACACACACACATATATATACGTATATATGTATATACGTATATATATGTGTGTGTATGAGAGAGAGAAAGCTATATACATATATATGCATATATGTATATGTATACATGTATATACATTATATATAGAGAGAGGAGAGAACAATTTTAGATTTACAGAAAAGTTGTAGTACAAGGAGTTCCCATAAACCTCATACCAAATTTCCCCTATTAACATACCAGTATGGTACATTTGTAACAAATAGTGAGCCAATATTAATACATAATGATCAACTAACATTCATACTCCATGTTTTCTCAGCTTTTTCCCTACTATCTTTTTCCATTCCAGGATCCCATACAGGATACCATATTACATTTAGTTGTCCATATCTCTTTAGATTTCTCTTGGCTGTGACAATTTTAGACCTCTCTTATTTTTTATTCTCTTGAGAGTTTTGAGAAATACTGGTTATGTATTTCGTGGATGTTTCTCAATTGAAATTGGTCTTACTTTTTTTTCATAATTAGGGTTTTTATGGGTGATATCACAGGTAAAGTGTCATTTTTATGACATCATATGAAGGGTACATGCTATCAAGCATGACTTATCACTGTTGACGTTGCCCTTAGTCACCTGGTGGAAAGTGCTTGTCAGGTTTTTCCACTGTAAAGTTATATTTTTTATATCCTTTCCATATTGCCCTCCTTGGAAGGAAGTCACAATGAACAGCCCACTCTTAAGGAATGAAGAGCTATGCTCTACCTTTTTTAACATAAAATATCTGCATAAATTATTTGGAATTATTCTGCATGAGCTATTGTCTACTCTCCCATTATGTATTCAATAATTTATATCATGACTTATGAATATTTTCTTTATGTTTATAATCTAATATATTTTTTATTTTGCTTCACAAATTATTCAAGACTTTTGCCCATTGGCTCCTGTGTCCTTTTGACATACCCATATCCATGTGTGTATGTGTGGGGCACTAACTTACCATATATCTCCAGACTCATATTCCCCACTCCAGACCTACTAGAATGAGCAATGTCTCCCAGAGTCCTCAGTGTATTTTATAGGAGCATGGTATTAGAAATCAAGATCTGAGTGCTGAGATCTAATATTATATTTATGTTTCAATATGTAGCACACATCAAGTTATATTTTATTTATTTTTATCTCCCATTAAACTAAGAGCCTACAATTATCATATTCTCTTGTACAAAAATAGAGCCTTTAAAATATGTAACCTTGCATTCTTTCTTAGTTATCTTATGGGATTTATAACGTTTTCATGTATAACGAGATTGTAAAGTCACCGTGTTGTATTATTTCCCACATGCTTTGCTGGTCCCTGCATCAGTCTGTATGGTTTATTACCCTGGGACTGAACTATGGGCTTTTTACTTTTTACGTTTCCCAACTTTTTTTTTTTAAATTAAAATTTACTTGTTCCCTGTTTACCTCTTCTTGTGGAAAAGAGAGATTGAATTTGAAACTTTGGCTGGAGACTAGCACTTTGCACTATAGTCTGGCATATAATATACTGTCAACTGGCTATGGTATAAAGAATAGAGACTATGACCTATGTTGATTTTAATGAAAATCATCCATTTGTTTGTTCAGTAATACTTATCACTTACTAGCTAGCTCATAAAAAAAAATATAAAGGAGGTATTAGCCTAAAAACTTAAAACAGAATTCAGGCAAGGCTTCATACAGTGCTTCAAATAAAATAATAAGTCTTTTTCTCTGTGTGTCTCTTATTTCTACTCCCACTGACTATCTTTGTACATTGTAATTTTCTCCTACTTCTTCCCATTGTGCCTTGTAACACTATGACACATCATATTCTCTCTTGTACTATAGTCAAATTTATGCTAATATTGTTAAATGACTAAACAGCTTTCTGAGAGCATACTTTGTATCTCTGATTTATTGGTGAATCTCCCTTGAAGAGAGAAAAATTACTATAAGAATCTATATGTTATACTTCTCCCTTTTCTTAAAACCTCAAAAATGGAAAGGAAATTTAAATAAAAATTTTATATGGCCCTTAGTGGGTTATATACTCACACACAAATCTGTCAGCATATCCAAAGTGTTGGAGTACTCTGATCTTATTGGGTCATTTGGATATCCCTGTAGTTGAATGTGCTTGAGCTATACTATATTATATAGTACCGGAAACTGATTAAAGAAAACATATTCAAATGCAAATTTTTCATTCAGTCTGGTGGCTCTGTTTTAGTTATACCTTCTTTGTTGTCTGTGAAGATAAATTTTCAAAATAAAGTATTTTTAATTCCACATTTTTGGAGCACATATTGTTTACAATATATTATACCAATAGATATACTATTCTAGTGTAGATCTATTACCTGTGACTTTATAAAAACCATCCCAAAACTCAGTAACTCCAAACATAGAGTTCTTATTTTTCTTCAGTATTTAGTTCTCTAGGTAGGGATTGGCTGAACTTCCTCACATGTCTTAGGGTCAGCTGATGACCACTTTAACTAGGTTGACCTTGATGATTTGGGTTACCCAGCTGTGTTCCACACACCCCTCATCCTTCAGCAAACAAACCTGAGAATGTTTTTATGTTAATGGTAGAGGTACAAAAGAGAGCAAAGCCCATGTGCAAGTCTGTTTTAAACCTCCACTTGCACCATGTCTGATAGTTCCCCATTGGTTAAAGCAAGTCTTACAGTTGAGCTCAATGTCAATTGGCAGGCCTGTTACCTTACCTATGACTGGAAGGAAATGCAAAGTTACATAGCAATGGGTGTAGATACAGGGAGGGGTGAAGAATCATGGATATAGATGGAATCTATCGCAAACAGGTAATAAAAACTTGTGACAAATAATGAGATCTATAGCATGCCTTCATGGAACTGATCATTTAGTAGCAGAATAACATTAATACAAAAGTGACAATATTACAAGAGAGAATATGATATGTCATTTAAGTTACAATGTAAAATGAGACAGAAAAAATAGAAAAATCTTACCTAATTGGAAACAAAGACTTAAGGGAGAAATAACATTTAGTTAATTTATAGTTTTACAATTTGAAGTTAAAAGTATAGACATTAGAAAATTTTATCCATTATTAGATTAATCCTTTAAAAATTCAAAACCTTGATTTTTTTGCTCTGTATTTTACTTACATTATACTTTTAATGAATTAAAATAAGCCTATTAAACTACTAGTAGAACTTCTTTAATAAATAAAAGATTCTTAGGAAAAAAATATCTTTTAGATGTGCCATTTCATAGTTTGTTTCTACCACTTAAGTAACATTAGTAAAAAGTAAGAGAGTACTTATTATAGTCGGTGTCTCATTCTATAAGAATTGACAGATTTCTTCTTGGGGAAGCATATATGTACTTTTTAGATCTATATTTATTTGCCTTTCAGTGACCAAGAAGCCTCTATATTACAGTTTCATGAAGCCATAAAGCTTTTTCTGCCCGTTTTGTGAGCATTTATTGAACCTCCACTTGCTACTCAGCATCCTAGTAGAAATAAAATATCCAAGAAGTAAGAAGTGTGCTCTCATTCTTTTAAGTGTGAGTGCTTTTAGTTAAAGGCGTGAAGACAAAAGCACCCATTCAAATGTCCGTAAGATGAAATCATATTTCACTCTGAGTTCTCCCTGTGAACATTTTCTTTCTTTCTGGTGGTTGATGTTTCTATCCTATTTCTAGATAGCCAAAGACTAAGCTTTGACCTCAGTTGAGAAAAACACCCCATAATTTTCCCCTTGAATATAGTTTCTTAAATTGGGTAAGAATGTTTCTGAACACAGAACTTAGTCTTTAAACTGAAGATGGAATTTCATGTGGGTCTTCTGCAAAGAGAGATGTTAAGAGGGATTATTTATGTAATACTGTCCACTAAGCACAAACCTTTCTTAAGTGAAGTCATCAATGAACAGAATTCATAGAGGAACTGGTGTTGCAATGTATTTCATACAGTGCCATTATGGAATATTATCAATGAAGTACTTCTTAAAAGGAGTAGTCAGATATAAAAATATAAAATGTGATATGTAAGTGTAGATTATGAAATTATATATTTTGCATCTTTCTTATTTATCAAAAAGTGCTAAGACACTTCTAGAATAATGGAACAGATTGTAGATTGTGTACTTCAGAAGATATAAAAAATAATACAGTATGGAAAGTGAAATTTTGTTAAATTTTAAAATCTTAGTTAACTTGAAAAAACTGTAACAGATATGCATAGATGGATATTTTCCTGTAATTTCTTCTAGTTTGAGAAATGTCCAGTTATGTGTCAGCTTTAGATTAGAAATAATTCTCACAAAGGTGACATCCTTAGTAGAATTTTTGCTCTAAATAATATCTTTCTTAGATGCTTAATAGAGTTCAGGGATTTAGAGAAGATTTTAATAACCAATTACTACCTTGAAAAGGAAGAATATATATGTGTTTATAATTTCCTTTCACCCTAATTTCTCATACATGATTTAAGGAAAACAAATTGTACCTAAGATGAGTAAATTATGACTATAATAAGTATCTTTTATCCTTTCTTTACATTTCATTTATTGCTTATTATTTTAGAAATATTTCCACCATTTTCTTCATTCTTTTGATTTCTGGCTAATGATAATAAAATTTCAAGAAAATATGAAGACATGAAAAATGCCCTCCCTAATTTCTTTTAAATTTTAGTTTTTATGGGCACGTAGAATGTGTATATGTTTATGGAGTACATGAGATATTTTGATAAAGACACGGCATGCAATGTGTAACAATCACATCAAGGAGAATGGGGCATCAGTCTCCTCAAGCATTTATCCCTTTAGTTACAAAACAATTCAATTATATTATTTTAGTTATTTTTAAATGTACAATGAAATTATTGACTATAGTTACCCCGTTGTGCTATAAAATACTAAATACTCGGTCTTAATCATTCTTCCTAAATAATTTTTGTACCCATTAACCATCCCCACTACTGTCCCAAGCCTCTGATAACCATCCTTCTTCTCTCTATGTCTATGAGTTCAATTGTTTTGATTTTTAGATCCCACAAATGAGAACATGCAATGTTTGTTTTTCTGTGCCTGGCTTATTTCATTTCACAAAATGTCCTCTAGTTCTATCCATGTTGTTGCAAATGACAGTATCCCATTCTTTTTCATGGCTAAATAGTATTTCATTGTACATAAGTACCACACTTTATTTATCTATTTATGGGCACTTGTGTTAAATCCAATCTTGGCTATTGTGAACAGTGCTGCAACAAACATGGGAGTGCAGATATCTCTTCCATACATGGATTTTCTTTTTTGGGATATATGCCCAGCAGTGGGATTCAGGGATCATATGGTAGCTCTATTTTTAGTTTTTTGAAGAACCTTCTAACTGTTCCCCATAGTGATTTTACTAATCAGCATTTTCACCAAGAGCGTAGGAGGGTTCCCTTTTCTCCATCACCTTGCCAGCATTTGCTATTGCCTCTCTTTTGGATATCAGCCATCTTAACTGGGGTGAGGTGATATCTCATTGGAGTTTTGATTTGCATTTTTCTGATGATTAATGATGTTGAGTACCTTTGCATATGCCTGTTTGCCATCCATATGTCTTCTTTTGAGAAATGTCTATTTAAATATTTTGCCCATTCTTAAATTAGATTATTAGATTGTTTCTTATAGAGTTGTTGGAGCTTCTTATATATTCTGGTTATTAATCCCTTGTCAGATTAGTAGTTTGCTAAGATTTTCTCCAATTCTGTGGACTGCCTCATCACTTCGTTGATTGTTTCCTTTGCTGTGCAGAAGCTTTTTAACTTGATGTGATCCAATTTGTCCATTTTTGCTTTGGTTGCCTGTGCGTGTGTGGCGTTACTCAAAAAATGTTTGCCCATGTCAACATCCTGTGGAGTTTCCCCGATGTTTTCTTGTAGTAGTTTCATAGTTTGAGATCTTAGATTTAAATTTTTAATCCATTTTAATTTGATTTTAGTATATGGTAAGAGATAGGGGCTAGTTTCATTATTCTGCATAATGATTTCCAGTTTTCCAGCAACAGTTGAGAGACTGTTCTTTTTCTAATGTATATTTCTGGCACTTTTGTCAAAAGTGAGTTCACTGTAGATACATGGATTTATTTATCAGTTCTCTTATTGTTTTCTGGTCATCTGTGTGTCTGTTTTTATGACAGTAACTTTCTGTTTTGATTACTATAGCACTGTAGTATAATTTGAAATCAGGTAATGTGATTCCTTCAGTTTTGTTCATTTTGCTCAGGATGACTTTGGCTATTCTGGATCTTTTGTGGTACCATGTAAATTTTAGGATAGTTTTTTTTCTATTTCTGTGAAGAATGTCCTTGGTATTTTGGTAGGGATTACATTAAATCTGTAAATTGCTTTGGGTAGCATAGACATATTTACAGCATTTTTTTTTTTTGCCAGTTTAAGAGAAGCAGATCAGAACTGCAAGTGAAGACTTCATCAATACTATTGGAAAAAAAGAAAGTTATTATGCTTCCTGGACTTAGTGACCTTAACAACACAAAATGTGCATTATAGTGTGGCAGATAAATGAAACTCACCTCATATGATTTTTTATGTGGAAATATATCTAATTATTTTCCTTTCCTCTTTCCATTAGTGATTTCTGCTGCTTTGTATGTTTATTCTTAATTATCTTTTACAGACTTTGGAAAATTAAACATTGAGAAAAACTTCTTCATCTGTTCATAGTGTCCTTCCCTCTCTCATGATATTAGTATGCCTCATAAGGAAAAATTTATTTTTTCTATCTTATCATTGTTTAATACAGGGAACAATTTGTGTTTAAATTAAATATTTGTTTTAGGGAGTACTGTATTAGTCAGGATGGTTAATTGCCCACAACAGAAACTATGCTAGCTAATGTTCATTGTAAGGGAATTAATTTAAAATATTCTGTATTTTCTCAGGTAAATACTAAGAGGAATTTTTAAAAGTGGGAGAAGCAAAATAGAGGGTCCGGTTTGGAAGGTATGCATTGTGGACCAATATCCAAATTATGCTTCTTTCTGTTTTATTAGAGAATTTTCCACCTCCAAAGTAGAACCTAGTTTGTTTTTAAATACTTGCTAATGTGTAGATGGCATGTCCCTCTTGGACATCTCCCATGTCCTTTTCTATAAGCACCATCCTCACCAGAGAGTGGCATCTGCTCCCTCTTCTCACTATCTTTATTTTACTTCTCTTTTTTTCCTCACTCCCTTTAGAAGAAGAATCTTGCTAGATTGCATCTGACTGGGGTTGTCTAACACATGTACATCCCTGACTTGACTTTAAAAAAGGATGCAAAGTAACTTTCTTCAATTTTGAAGGGGGAGAATTCATGTATGAAGTTCTTCAAACTCAGTAGGTTTGGTTAAGAGATCACAGACAGCTACAACTATGACAAATCACCACAAGAAAATATTAAAAAGCAAGAAAATGACAGATACTAGTAAGGAACATTATAGGATTTTAAGAGCAGGTTTGGCAACACCATGCATTATAAAAACAATATAGTTCCTCACAAAAAGCACTGTGAACGGAGACATAGAGATCTCTGGGAAAAGTGCCTCCTAGTGTGCATCATGTTCTTGTATTAGACTTTTTGGGCTCCTATAACATAATATCTGAGAGTTGGTAATTTATAAAGAAGGGACATTTATTTGCCACAGTTCTGGAGGCTGGGAAGTTCAAGATCATGTTTCTGTTGTCTGGTGAGGGCTGCTCTGTCTTTTTTAAAATGGCACCTTGTTGCTGCATTCTCCAGAGGAAGAGACACTTTGTTCTCTGATGGCAACAGGCAAAAAAAGTAAGGTACTGTTGAAAGCTTCATAAATAGGAGCCTAATTCTCATTCAAGAGGGAGGAGCTATCATGGCCTAATCACCTCTTAAAGGCCCCACCTCTTAATACTATGGAATTGGTGAAACCTGAATTTCAGAAGGGCACATTTAAACAATAGCAATTTTATACATAACAACTGGCTATAGCATAGCTGAGATTACTCAAAGGCTCCCAGACTACTTAGCTACTTCAAGTGTATTCCACAGAGCTGTACCATCAGCATTACCTGGTAGCTCATTAGAACTACAAAATTCTGGCCTTAGGCCAGAGACACAGGATGAGAAAGTACATTTTAAAAAGCTGACCAGGTGACTGATACAGATGTTAAGCAGCACTGCTCTATGAGACATTGTTTGCATTCGCATCTAATTCTATATACAAAGCAAATACTTAAACTTATAAATTAGAACACATGTGGTTGAAATGTAAGCCTGGTTGCCAGAACAGCACTAATTAAGGCTCCTGCTTGTTCCTTGGAAGGCACCAGAGCACCTCCAAGAACTCCTAAAGATCTGCAATGCAACGCAAAAACCACGGATCTTTGTCTTTTAGGGAACTGTCAGGACAGGCCCACATGAAGCTCACAAAGTCAGATGATAAATCTCTGATTGCACCCTAAATTGCTCCAGAAGATGCACACATCAACCTACATTTCAGCTTTAAATTAAGATAGGGTTATATCAAAATCCTTTTGGGCAGTGAGTGGCACCAGAAACAATCTAAAGATCGACAAACAATGTGTCTAGATATATTGTTTTATAAGGAAGTATGAATAGAGAAAAGAGTCTGGTGTTTGTGAAAAAGTCTCAACAGTTTAGAAAACTAGCATGTCTTAAATATTTACTTCAAAAATGTCACAGCTGAAGAAAAAAGATATAACTTCCATATATTCTCAAATGACATGTAAACCTTGCTACTCTGAATACTTTTCAAAATGTAATTTACAGATGATGGACTTTAAATACAATCATGCAAAATGAAAATGGAGAGTAAAATAAACTTAAATAAAATTAAGCATAGATTGCAAGGAATCTAACGACCTAATATGGAAACTAAAAGTTTCACCAGGTGTGCTGATAACAAAAATAACACCAGAAACATGGGCTCTGTAGGGGATGGAATTAAGAAATGAATCTGTTTGAAACAAAGACAAAAATCAGTATATAAACCTAAATGTAATTTGGAAAAAAAGAGGGAAAATATTTTATATACAATTGTGCTTGCCAAAGACAAAGCCACAACTGAAGAGAGGAACATTAGATTGAGCTACAGAAAATGTTTCAAATGTATTTTTTAAGAATTATCCTGGTACTTAAAAAATTAATTCTGTAGAAATCTGAATAGAACAAACAAGCCAACAAAACTTGTGTACTTAAGGACAAAAATCAAGTAGCTCTCAGACGTTGACATAACATTAACACTAGAAAACACTGAAGCAATGTCCAAATTTTAATGGGAAAAACTCAAAACATTAATCAAGTCGTTTGTGATGGCCTCAAGAACTTCCTGGAATATTCAGTGGCTCAGGAAATATAGAACCAATCAAGAAAAATCACAATGCACTGTAATTGATTTCAAGATAAATGAAAACTGTTCTTTCTCTATTTGTAATTTAAAGATAACATAAATCTTTCAATGATATGATAAAGAACTCTGATTAGTCAGAAAATAAAACAATATTCAGTAATGCTGTGAAATTTGTTAAGCTACTCAGTAAAATATTAGACCTGTTAGACCTTTTCTTTACACCAAAATAAATTTCAGATGGATTAAAGAGAAAATTATAATTTTACACTTAAAACTGAGGAAAATATATAATGAATATTGTAGCAGATAAAATATTCCAGGTAAATGGTTTAAAAGTTGATAAAGAGTGACACAATTTTGAGAAACTATTAAATGCAAAGGCATGTTATATATGTGTGTGTAATCAGTAAGAAAATTAATTGCTAATAAAGCAATCAGATACCAGTTTACCATTATAAAATAAAGAGTGTGAATAGGTGCAGGTTTTGTGAAAACAATTTGACAATGGAGTGTCAAGAGCCCAAGAATTTGTATCAGAGAAACAAGTGTTAGAAACCCAGATATTCATCTTTGTTTCATTTACACAAATGAGAATTAAAAACAATTTGAATGTCTCACAACAGGGAATGTTTTCAGTACCATGATTTTCAAAATCTCTCAGTTTCTTAAGCTTTTCATTAGAAAAAAATAGACTTAAAATAAGAAAACTAATTTTGTTTTGCATATTTTCTCTAAATTGCTAAACAGCCAGATATTTTGACACTTCATTGTGACATGTTTTAGAGGTTATGAATTATTATCTGAAACATCATTTTAGTCTTAAATCTTCCCTGTAAGCCAAGCAAGTCAGGAAATTATTGTTTCTACTGTTGCGCAGATAATAGAATTGATTACTGTGCAAGACATTTTCCTCTCACCCATCTAGTTTTATACTCTACCTTTCTCCACCTTGCTTAATACCTAGAAGACTGATCTCTATGGACTCTGTAAGCAATTATCTCTGTACTCTGGCTTCTGGTTTTGTTAACCCAATAGAAATCACTGGCAAGAGAGGTGAGCATTGAAGGGGAAAGTGGTATTTATTATCCTGCTGACAGTCAGGGTAAATGTGGTTTTCTTTTGTTTGTTTGTTTAAGACAAGGTTTATCTCTGTTGCCCAGGCTGGAGTGCAGTGGCATGATCATAGCTCATTGCATCCTTGACCTCCTGAGCTCAAGCAATCCTCTTGCCTCAGCCTCCTGAGTAGCTGGGACTACATGCCTGCACCATCAATCCCTACTACTTTTTTATTTTTATTTTTAATGGGGACAGTGTCCCACTGTGTTGTCTAGGCTGGTCTTGATATCCTGAGCTTAAGGGATCCTTTCATCTTAGCCTCCCAAAGTGCTAGCATTGCAGGCATGAGCCACGGTGCCTGGCCTGCATTTTCTAACTATGGCCACAGCCACCTTTGTACACCCTGTCTTCCAAAGCTCAGCTCTCACTAGGCCCCCGTAGTTATCTCCTTTCCATTTTCCCTTCAGGCCTAGGAGGATAAGAGCTTTCTAGTATTATTAATCTCTGCATGCTTCACAGTCTTTATTGGTTAATTTAACCCTGTCTACCTCATTTCAATTATCCCATTGTGTGCCATCTATATATTGTCTGCACTGTGATGGATACAGATACGCAGGGAGTCAATGGTCTTCTATGATGTATTTGAAAGAGTTATGTCAGAACCAGGAGAGAAACGCCAACATTTTTACTCTTTTTACTATATCAAGTCGTATTTAAAGGGGAATTTAAAAAATAACTAAGGAATAGGATATTTTGTTTTGAGACAACAGTATATAGCTTTGACTATGTAAAATATATGTATGCATCAAGTTTATTATATTCAACCACCTAGATTTTTTTTACAGTAGGCTACTCAAATTCTGTTTTCATGACACGCATCTTCTAGTCCCCAATCCCTTATCTAAGAAAAAAATATTATGTCACTCCAAATGCAATGTAAAGATTTTTTGGAAATGGGCAACATGGGAAGCAGAGATATTAATGACATGAAGATGAAACTTCAATAAATTCCTAAAAAATAAGCCTATCTGTAGCAAGATCCCCACAGGGAAAAACTACTCACTAATACAATTCCTGGGAAAGAAAAAAATCTGTCACTTCCTCTGATGTGAGGCAAACCTTTAACCAAATTCAGTGGATATTAGCTGTGACTATTCCATGTTTTAAAGTTATTAATTTAGTACATGTTGTTATTGTGAGATGTGTCTCATGGAGAGATTAATCAGGAGGAGTACATTTTATGAAATAATTTGTTTTTTAATAAAGCTGCTAAGATGGTAAACCCATTTAGTTGCTAAATCAAATATTTAGCATTATAATCACAGATATTTTATACATCAGAATTTAGAGTTAAATCTTTCTTTTACTAAGGAGGAAAAAACATTCAAGTAACTCATAGAGGTGGCAATGGCAAAGTGAGGAGAAGGCTGGACCAGGGAGGATTAAGTCAAATAATTGTGAGATTCAGGTGATCCAACCATAGCACTTCAGAACTGTTGCCTTTTCTTTGGCCAGTCGCCCTCTTCCAGTTGCCTATGTTGTCCCTGACATGTCCTGCATATTATGGTTTTCATTTGTAAATATCACATTCTCTGGTACATAGTAGATATACAACAAACAATTTTAATAAAGTAAATGACATAAATTATCAAACAGGTCAAAGGGAAAAGATGAGGTATAATTCATACATGCAGGCCTACATAAGTGTGTGACTGAGAAATTTTTTTCGAGTTCGTGACAAGCAAAGTAGAGGGAGATGTAGTCAGTGTGATAAATCCGGATTACTGAAGAGAATAGAATAGTCTAACACTAAAAGGCACAGAAAACTTTTCCTCTAAACCTTGTACATGAGGGATCAAGTAAGAGGAATGTTGTATTAGGGTGGTGCAAAAGTTATTGCGATTTTTACCATTACTTTTAATGGCAAAAACTGCAATTACTTTTGCATCAACCTATAGATAAATACATCCTCAAAAATATCTCTCTGGAAATTGTAATAGGTTATTTCATAAGAACATATCTTGTATTTTTATTAAAGCAATGGGGGAACATAACAACAAAATGCTACTTATTAAGTCCAATTCTGTAGATGAATAAGATTTTTTTAATGGTCCAATTATGAAATATAATATTGTTTTATGGTCTCTTTTGATGAAAGGATGTTTGTTACATGGAGCTGTGGCTTGCAACTCTATTCACACAAATAAAGGTCCTCTAGAGAGTCCTAGGGGCCACTATCAGGGATGAAAGGGCAGTATAGCCAGCAAGGTCAAGTTCCTTGTCATAAATATGGGAGTTTGATTTTTAAAGTTTGGGGAAAATTTGCTGAGATAGAGGGATTAATGCACAATACTTCAAAAATATAATTCTCATAAAGTGGGCTGAACAGCCAGTTAAAGTTTGTGTTATTTGAGAAGTTTTTCAAGTCTAGGAGACTGGTAATTAATAGATCTGGATAGGGTGATGGAGAAATTAACAATACTACGTGAAAATTAAGAGCACCCCAATGCTCTCTCTTGGATGGATAGACTTATCACCTCTACACAGATGAGCCGCAGAAGTCCCTAAATGCAAAGACAAAGCTTTGTTCATAAAATATCATGGGAGAAATTATTTCTGGAGAGGGAGTTTTCCTGGACAAGAAAATGAATAAAAGGCAGAATTAAGAGTTGTGGTAAATAAAGATTACTGTTATAAGAGATCCGGACCCAGAATGGTAGTAATTTTCATCTCGTTAGCTTGTAGGAATATGATATTGAGTTGGCAGCAGGAAGTTGTGAAAGATACTGAGTTTTCCTTCAGGATTTCCAGAAAAATATGCCATGATTCACTACTGATGCAAGCTCTGGGCCTGTAGGATGTAGGTGCTAGAAATACGTACTAGCCCTTCCTATGGCTGATTGCTTATCTTTCAAGTTTCGGTTTAAATGCTTTTCCTGTCAGTTCCTCAGTGAGTCTTCCATTACAAACTTATTTAAAATATACCTGCTCAAAGTTTTATTCATTATCATATGACTCTTATTATTAGCATTTACTAAAAGCACTAAAGTTACTAAAATTATTTCGTCTACTTGTGGCTTGCTTGCTGGTTTATTGTCTACCACTCTCTATGAGGAAAGGTATCACACTTGTCCTTTTCTTCTTCTATCTCCCACACCAACTTCATAGCAGGTACTTAACTATATTTTCTGAATGAAAGACAAATGGAAAAATGAATGAATTAATTAATATTGTCTATTAACCAACAACATTTCAGGCTTTACCATGGTGTCATTTATCATTTTAACCAGTTCTGTTTTACATCATGAAGGTTGAATAAAACCTGGGAAGGTGTATTATCTCACAAGCTGCCATTAGTTAAAATGAAGTAGTGATTCAAAATTCGGGGGAGCTTTCCCCTGTTGGGGCTCAGAAACTAATGCCCCACATATGACACTTTGACATGCTGAGCTGAACAAGAAGCCTCAAGGTCTGACACCCTACCCTCTCCACCTCCTGCTCTCAATCCTGTGTACAACCCAAAGTACAGGATGAAATTGTCCTCTGAAGCTGTTTTACCTGCCTAAAGTCTGGATCTACCAAAGAATAAAACAACCACCTCTTGTCCATTGCCTGAGCTTTCATTAACTGAACGCATTGCAGGAAGAAAGACTAAAGGCTGTCAACAAACCTGTGCAGACTTTTGTCACAAACCATTGTCTGCTCTAAGGGCCAAACAGACTTTGTTCCAGGCCATTGTGTGTTATTCAAGCCCATTGAATTTCCATAAAAGTCATTTACTACCCCCTAAAATAATCAACACGTTCTCATCTGTTTATTCCCCTAAGAAGACGACTATATAATCATCTATACCTAATTGGGTTATTGGGTAATCATCCTCCTATAATTCCACATTAAACTAAATTTGTATGCGCTTTCTCCTATTAATCTGCCTTTTGTGAGTTGATTTTTTTTGCAAACCTCCAGAAGGTGAATGGGAAGTTTTCTCTTGACTCCTACACCTCCAAGTGATTCTCTCACCTCTAAAATCCCTCATCCTCTTTATTGTTGCTTCTAATGTCCTTTGATTTCTTGGCTTGATTCAGAATATCATCTATGATTTCCGAATCATCAATGCAATGGAACATTCACCTCTATTTTCTCCTTTTTTATATGACTGGAACTAATTTGTTTTATGATTACTAAGGGATACTTCTTACCTTTGTAAGAATTTATAGCAGCGTTTGGATGAGAGCTTACTTCACAACTTGGAAATACTTAATAAGAAATATAAAATTATCATTAAGATGCCAGCAACAGCATGTCTGGAGGGGCTGCTGTGAGGATGCCAGCTACAGCCAAGGAGGCACGGCCAGGGCTGCATGCTCCATGGAGCTGGCAGGGGCCAGAAACAGGTGGGAGCCCAGCCCCCTACCCAGTTGGCAGGGTGGGAGCCCTGCACTCCTGGGTGCAGCTGTAGCCACCCAGCTGTGGCTCTGGACCTGGGCAGCCCTGTACTCTCAGGGGCCCAAGAAGCTCCCCCTGCCCCTGCAGGCTCAGGAGGGCCTGCTCCCCCTCCCTGGCCTCTCCCCACTCCCGGTGCCCACTCCAGTGTGGAGCAGAGTTGTAGCCAAGCCTGGGCACTGTCATGACCTGATGGGTGTGCGCATGCTCAGGGCAGCACAGATATGCCGGCCCCCTGCTGCCTCAGCCCCCGCCAGACCTCGGGTGCCAATAAGCATGGGAGGGAGACAGGGAGCAGGGAGGGCTGAGGGCAGCTCAGTGAAGGCCTGCAGGCACCCCTCAGCATGAACAGCATGGGTGCCATGGATGGCATGTTGATGGCAGTGGGAGGCAGACAGGTTCCTGGGTGGAAAGGGACCGGTCCCTCCAGAAGCCCCACCTTCAAGCCAGGGACAGCCTGAAGCCTGGAGGCCAGGGTGTCAGTTCCAGGTGGAGTCTGTGGCCCAGAGTAAGAATGTATGGTGCTTTTTTTGGACGCACCCATGGCAGTCCATGGACCAGTTAGCATTTGCATCCTCCCTTCTGAGCCATGAAAACCCCAGACTCAGCCACACTCACACAGATGTCAGGACTTACCAGCTGCAGGGAGGAGCTACCCACTTTGGATCTGCTTGACTTGTCAGGATGACCTGCCTGTGGAAAGGAGCTACCTACTATGCATCTCCTCTTCACTGAGACCTAGACACTTGTCAGGATCACCTGCCTGCTGAAAGGAGCTACCCACTTCGGATCTCCAGAGAGCTGTTCTGTCACTCAATGAACCTCCTCTCTGCCTTGCTTACCCTCCAGTTGTCGGTGTACCTCATTCTTCCTAGATGTGGGACAAGAACTCAGGACCCACCAAATGGTGAGACTAAAGAGCTGTAACAAAAACAGGGATGAAATGCCCCCCCCCCACCACATTGCTCACCACGTTGTGGGTGACAAGAAGGACAGAAGAGCTGTGGCCCTTTGGGGAGCCCAGACCTAAGGGTTCCCTGAACCAGGGCTATGACACCCTCTTTGGGGCTCTATGATTCCTGGTGTCTCCAAGCTTCCAGGTACCAGCATATTTCCCTCATCCAGATATCGGTGCCCATAGTAGAAGCCACTTGTAGTAAATCTGATACAGCCACAGCCTTGCATGGAGCCGGTGCCTGGAGCTGCCCACACCACCACAGCCACCGGTCTGCCTGGTTGTGTGCAGTGTCTGGACCACACACACTCGCTCACACACCCCTTGCCACTACATGCCTGGCTCACCCTTGGCAGGCATGGGATACAGGCCAGTAGCACAAGACAGGTGCAGTCTGCCAGGCTGAGTGAGTGGAATGAGCCCAGTGGGCCCAACCAAAACTCTGACAAAGGCAACACTGGCCACAGAGGTTTCTGGGTGGAAAAGTTAACACCCTAAGGATCCTGAAACAGTTATAATGTCAAAACAAATCTTATTTTTTACTATTTACTTGTTTCTAAAGAAAATTATATATTTATTTAAGGTATACAAGTTATTTTGATATGCTCATACATAGTAAAATGATTATTCTAGTTAAGCTATTAAGGTATCCATCTCCTCACATGGTTACCATTTTTTTAAGTTCTTCAAGTTTAAACTAAGGGACACTAAACAGCAACAGAAGAACATATACAAGTATGAAACTCATAAGAGAGAGAACATTATTATCCTTGAAGCTCTCTTATAGTTTTATTGAAATTCTAAATATAAGCAATATTGAAATACAAGTCTTTAAAGGTTTAATGAGATTATAAATCCAATACTATGTCTGTATGGTAGACTAAAGTTGTCATTAATTCACCTTTAATAGATCTTTGTAGTAAAAGTTGGGGACAGTGATTAAAAAATCTAATTCCCCAATATTAGTACTGATTTATTGGGATGAGTATTATACTAGCAATCTAAATAGCAATAATAAATAAGAATGAAAATTTATGGTAGTTATAGAAATAAAAGGTAGTATCAATGATAGAACCCATCTAAGGTGGAACTGTTAAAGTGGTCAAAAAATACGTAATCATAACTAACACTTGTGTAGAATTTTCTATTACCAGAGTCTCTATTAAGCACTTGACATATATAATACATGTAATCCTTACAAGATTTCTGTGAAGATAATGTTAATATAGTAGCAGAAGAGGAAACTGAGGCTCAGGAAAATAAGTGTGATGCCCACAGTCATAGCTATTAAATGGCAGATCTGGGTTTTAAATCCAGGCAACCTTAAAACAGTGTATGTGTTCTGCAACCCTGGCCTATACATATAGTTGGTGCTTATTTGAATATTTTAGTGTTATTGACATGATTTCCAGTCACCACATCTTTTAAGGGAGATGACAAATGTAGAACTTGCCAAAAATCTCTTGTAAATTATTCAATTCCATGCACCTGCTAGAGCTGACAGTGGAAAACTTCATTAAATTGGACCAGTGTTATCTTTAGTGTTCTCCTCAGCAGTTTGTACAAACTGTGTGTGTCCAAATATTCATTTTTTAGAAAAGAAAAGCATTTTTATTACTACTTCCTGATCTTTTTTTTATTTGCTATAGCTGGTCTTCTTATAACTATGCATTCATGGCTTTTGACTGATGTAGTTAATTCTTGGTAATTCACCATATTAACACATTTAAGACATACGACAATAAAATCATCTCATAAGATGCAGAAAAAATAATTTTATAAAATTCACCAGTGACTCAAACAAAAAATGTTAGCAATCTATGATGAGTAGGGAAATCTTTTAATCTGAGGTTATGACAATACTCAAAGTTTCATAGTGACTGGGAACAGGAGGAAGATGCCCATTATTATTACCTCTACTCTGAATGATTCTTTAAGTTCTAGACGTTGCAGTAAGGCAAAAAAAAAACAAAACAAAACAAAAAATTACAGGTACAGAATTGCAAGGAGAATAGCATGTCTTTATTTGAAGATTCAATTATTGTATTCCTATGAAAACAAAATTATCTTCAGAAAAACAATTTAAGAAATATTAGCAAAGTACATGGATAAAAGAAAACATCAATATAGTAAAATTAGGTAGTAACTTGAGCAAAATAGTCAGAATAAGCAACTACATATATCCTCTCCTCCATAAAAGCATTGAGAACATGAACAAAAATCCTCAGAATATAATTTTTCAAAACTCTGGAAATAAAAGTGTTTAGCAATCTAGGTAGTGTTTATTCAATAGCAACTGAATATTGGTAAGAGCAATAAACGTTGTGGTGTTTTAACTTGCTCTGTTACAATTTCCCACTCCCAGTTTGAAGGTAGCTTTTAAAATAAGTGACTCTGGGGCGAAAAAGGGTGATCTTTCAAAGCCCTATTTTCAGATAATTTTTATAATTTTCCCTGTATCATGGTTCCAACAAAGATCCCACTCATAAATCTGTCTTTATTCACAGCTCCTGAAGTGTGAACAGCTTTTCTAGGTTTGTTTCTCAAAAACAATCAGAGGCAATTGCTTATTGCAGTTGCTCGTTGGGAGAATAAGAGATGATGAAAACAATAGGCTAATCAAAAACCTTGAAAGTAAAATTCGAGGAACAAGATGCCCATAGGGTGGTTTGAAAAAATCCAACATCTTCTTGGGAATCAAGTGGCCACACACAAGCATAGGGCTATGCACATGTCCAGAGTTTAAAATGCACAGGAAAGGCTTAACAACCCTTAATCTCTAACCTCTGACTGACCTTGAGGCTCTGACAATGCAGGAAGTGAAGTTAAGGCAGAGTTGTACATTGCTAGAATGAGTAATGAAGGTATTCATATGAGTACAGAGTCCTTCAGGAAAAACTGAATTTTTTGGCTCTAGATATTTAACAAAATATTTGTCCAATCATTAACTGACCACTAAGAAGTAAACTGAGGAGGGACTTCAATGGCCACACATGACAGAGAATACCACTTTTCCATAATGAGTTCAGAAAAGTCACTAAACAAGTAAACAAAACAGCAAAAAGTACAACAATAAACTTTGAAAAGGAAGGAGAATCTAATTTCCAGAGTTGCCACATTGTATTATTTTAAAAGCCCAGTTTTCAAAAAAAAAAATAGTATATGTACAAAGAAATAAAAATGTATGGCCCATTCTCAGGAAAAGTCAATAGAAATTATGTTCGAAGAAGCCCAGATATTGCACTTATTAATAAAAGATTTTACATTGGCTGTTCACATATGCTCGAATAATTAATTGAAACCATGTTCAAATAAGGAAAGCAAGTGAAAAATGTCTCACCATAGGAGAAAATGAGTAAAGAGATAAAGTTATATATATATATAAAAAATGTGTGTACATGTATATATACATATATGTGTATATATGTATATGTACACACACACACAAACCAAATAGGAATTCTGGATTGAAAAAGTACAATGAATGACATAAAAATATTAACTGTTAGTGTTCAACAGCAGAATTGAGTAGATAAAAGAAACTCAGCCAATTTGTAGATCAATTAAGATTATTCAGTCTGAGCAATAGCAAGAATAAAGAACGAAGAAAAATGAACTGACACTCAGAGACCTATGAGGCAACATCAACTATGCTGACAAGAAGATGGAGAAAAGGACAGAAAAATATTTGAAGGGGTAAAGGCTGAAAATTAACCCAAATGCCCATCAATGACAGACTGGATAAAGTCTAAACTGGATAGAGAAAGTGTGGTGCATATTACACTGTGGAATACTATACAGCCATAGAAAATAACAGGATCATGTCCTTTGCAGGGATGTGGATGGAGCTGGAAGTCATGATCCTTAGCAAACTTATGTAGGAACAGAAAGCCAAACACCACATATTCTCACCTATAAGTGGGAGCTTAATAATGAAACCACATGGACACATGAGTGGGGAACAACACAACACACACTGGGGCATGTCATGGGAGTGTGGGGTTGGGGGAGAGCATCAGGAAGAATAGTTAATGGATGCTGGGCTTAGCACCTAGGTGATGGGTTGATCTATGCAGCAAACCACCATGGCACACGTTTACCTATGTAACAACCTTGCACATCCACCCTGGAACTTAAAAGTTGAAAAAGAAAAAAACTTTTCAAATTTGATTTAATCTACACATCTAAGAATCTTAGAAAACTCCATGTAAGGTAAATTCAAAGAGATCTGTACGTAAACATATAATCAAACCTTTGAAATACTTGAAATTGGTGAGACAAGCTACTTATATAAAAAGGGTCTTCAATATGATTAACAGCTATTCTCTCATCAGAAACCATGGAGGCCAGAAGACAGTGGGATGATATACTCAAAGTGCTAACAATTTTTTAAAAGTCAACCAAAAAATTTATTTATTTATCTATTTATTGAGATGGAGTCTTGCTCTGTCACCCAGGCTGGAGTGCAGTGGTGAGATCTCGGCTCACTGCAAGCTCCGCCTCCCAGGTTCACGCCATTCTCCTGCCTCAGCCTCCGGAGTAGCTGGGACTACAGGCGCCCGCCACCACGCCCAGCTAACTTTTTGTATTTTTAGTAGAGACGGGGTTTCACCGTGTTGGCCAGGAGGGTCTCGATATCCTGACCTCGTGATCCGCCCGCCTCGGCCTCCCAAAGTGCTAGGATTACAGGCATCAGCCACCGCGCCCTGCCAAAAGTCAACCAAGAAATTTATATCTAGAAAAAGTATCCTTCAAAAAACGGAAAAATTAAGACATTCCCAAATGGAGAGATGCCAAGAGAGTTATTTGCTAATACATCAGCCCTACAATACATATCATAGGAATTTGATACTCAGCCTCCGGGCTGAAATGAAAGAACAACAGACAATAACTTAAATCTGAATGACAGAATAATGAAAACTGGTAATAAATACGTGAAGGACATGGAAGAATTTTACAGACATCCTGCACAAAATAATAGCAAGCTGAAACTGTCAACATACGAAAATGCATTACAGACTACGAAGAAGTGGAATTTGTCCCAGGAATGCAAAGTTAGTTCAGCATATGAGAACCAATTCTGTAATTTATTTTATTAGAGAATCAACAACAAAAACAAGGGCTTTTGTAATGGAATGAATGTACTTTGCATATGAGGACATAAATTTTGGGGGCCAGGCATAAATACTATGGTTTGAATGTGTCCCCCAAAGTTCATGTGTTTGAAACTTAATCCCCAATCCAACATTGTTAAGAGGTGGGAGCTTTAAGAGGTGGTTAGGGTATGAGGGCTCTGTCCTCATGAATAGATTAATTATATTCTGGTAGTGGGTTTATTGTTGTGAGAATGGGTTTGTTATAAAAGCAAGTTCAACTCTCTCTCGCTTTCTTTCATTCTTGCACGCTCTTGCCTTTCTGTGTTCTAACATGGGATGACACAGCAAGAGGAACTCTTAAGATGCCAGCCCCTTGATTTTGGACTTCTCCAGCTCCTGAACTGTAAAAAATATATCTTATTTATAATTTACCCAGTCTTGGTTATTCTATTATAAGAGTACAAAATGGACTAGGACACAACTCAATAATACAGAGGCAAATAACCCAATTAAAAATGAGAAAAAATTTTGAATAGTCATTTATCTAAAGAAGATCTACAAATAGACAATAGGCACATTAAAATACACTTAACATCATTAGTTATTAGGGAAATTCAAATCAAAACCAAAATGAGATACTGCTTCTCACCTACTAGAATGGCTAGAATAAAAATGACACACATTTTGTAAGTGTTGGCATGGATGTGGAAGAAATTAAAACCTCATATATTGCTGGCGAAAATTTGAAACAGTGCGTCTGCTGTGGGGAACAGTTTAATAACTCAAAAAGTTCAACACAGGGATACCATGTGACCCAGCATTTCCACTCCAACACAGGGTTACTACGTGACCCAGCAGTTCCACTCAAGAGAATTGACGATATATGTCCACATACACAAAAAATTTATATGTGAGTATTCATAGCAATGTTGTTTATAATAGCCAAAAAGTGGAAAAATCCAGATGCTCATCAACTAATAAATGGATTAAAAAAGTGCAACATATGTACAATGGAATATTATTCATCTATATAAAGTAAAGTAGTGATACATGCTACAACGTGGATGAATCTTTAAACACATATGCTAAGTGAAAGAAGCCAGGCACAAATGACCACATATTATGCAATTTGATTTATAAAACATCCAGAATAGAAATCTTTACAAAGACTGAAGGTAGACTAATGGTTTCCAGAGTCTTTGGGTTGGCATGAGAAATGAATGTTGATGGACATGTAATTTCTATTGGCGTTGATAAAAAATATTCTGAAATTAGATAGCTGTGATTGTTGCACAAATTTTTGAACACAGCAGGTCCTTGAATAATGTTCTTTCATTCAATGTTGTTTCACTATAACATTGATGAGAGAAAAATATTGATTCCTAACTGGGACCACTGTCTGTGTGGAGTTTTCATATTCTCCTCACGCTTGCATGGGTTTTCTTCAGATGCTCCAGTGTCCTCCCACATCACAATGATGTGAATGTTAAGTTAATTGGTATGTCTAAGTTGTCCCAGTATGAGTGAGTGTGAGTTTATGTAAATGTACCCTGCGATGGAATGACATCCTGTCCATGGTTGGTTCTTGCCTTTGTACTCTGAGGTGCTGGGATAAGCTCCAGCCACCCACCACCCTGAGCTGAAATAAGTCAGTTGGAAAATAAATGAATACAAATTATTATAAAATAAAAATTTGTGAAGTAGATGATAATCATGCAAACATACAACAATAAACAATGTGATTTGAGAGCATTCAGCCCACCCAATTTGTTACTGTTTGTTTTTGTACTGTGTGATGGTCGAAGGTGCTCCTTACAATATTCAATTTGCAGACATTTATTCCTTGATTTAACGCACCACTGCCTTAATTTAACCTACAACCACTGTTACTCAATTATTCACCGAAACTTTGGTAAATAATTTTCTTACTTGTATTTATTAATCTTTCTTAAATGCATGTATAGCTCATATTGACTTTAATTTTTAATATTAAAAGAGTCTGTGGTCTTTATTTGGAAGCTTGGTGATGTTTTTGTGACCAGAAATATGCCATGGGAAATTTACTCTTATGTATTTCAATTAGCCTATGGCAATATTTTTTTTCTTTTGTTGAGAAGGAGTCTCACTCTGCTGCCTAGGCTGGAGTGCAGTGGCATGATCTCGGCTTACTGCAGCCTCCACCTCTCAGGTTCCAGTGATTCTCCTGCCTCAGCCTCCTGACTAGCTGGGATTATAAGTGTCTGCCACCATGCCCAGCTAATGTTTGTATTTTTAGTAGAGACAGAGTTTCACCATATTGGCCAGGCTGGTCTCGAACTCCTGACCTCAAGTGATCCACCCACCTTGGCCTCCCAAAGTGCTGGTATTACAGGCATCAGCCACAGCAACTGGCCGAATTGGTTTTATTATACATCATTTCACTTAAAATTGCGGTTTCAAAGAGCCTATTAATGACATTGTAAGGACTTACTGTATACTAAAAATCACTGAATTGTAAATTTTAAAAGAATCATTTTTATGGTATATGAATTATATCTCAGGTAAATTTAATGTATTTTATATTAAAAACAAATATTAAGAAAGTAAACTTAAAAATCAGATATCATTTATATTTCTAGTGCACATGGAACATTCTCCAGGAAAGACCATATGTTAGGCTACAAAACAAGCCATAACAAAATTAAAAAGGTTGAAATCATATCAAGTATCATTTCCAACTGCAATGGTATAAAACTAGAAATCAGTAACAGGAATTCTGGGAAATTCACAAATATATTGAAATTAACATGTTCCTGAACAATTACTGGGTCAAAGAAGATATCAAAAGGGAAATTCAAAAATAACTTGGGACAAATGACAATAACAATACAACATAAAGTAGCATAAAAATTATCAAGTACCTAGGAGAGAATCCAACAAAAGATGCTCACAATCATCACAGTGGAAATAATAAAACTTGAGAGACTACTCACGCCTGTAATCCCAGCACTTTGGGAGGCCAAGGCGGGCGGATCACGAGGTCAGGAGATCAAGACCACGGTGAAATTCCGTCTCTACTAAAAATACAAAAAAAAAAAAAAAAATTAGCCGGGCGCAGTGGCGGGCGCCTGTAGTCCCAGCTACTCGGGAGGCTGAGGCAGGAGAATGGCGTGAACCCAGGAGGCGGAACTTGCAGTGAGCAGAGATCGTGCCACTGCACTCCAGCCTGGGTGACAGAGCGAGATTAAGTCTCAAAAAAAAAAAGAAAAAAAAAAACTTGAGAGACTAAAATATAAACAAACTTACTTTGTTCATGGATTGAAATGGTCAGTGGTCAGTATTAAAAAGAAGATTTCTTTTAAAAGCTGACCAAAAGAAACCAAAATAAGAATTTTAACAGGTGTTCTGCTTTTCTTGTTTTGGAATCCAGCTAGCCAATTCTAAAATTTATAGTGAACTGTAAATGGCCCAGGAAAACAAAAACATTCACTTTTTTCTTCTTTCAACTTTATTGAGGTATTTTTGACAATTAAAAGTTATATATATTTAAGGTATACAACTTGATGGTTTGATACACATGTATACTGTAAAATATTGACCACAGTCAAGCTAATTAATATATCCATTACTTCACATATTTACCATTTTTTCTCATTATGTTTAGATCATGTAAGATCTACTCTCTTGGCAAATTTCAAGTGTACCATGCAATATAATTATTGTCATATAGTTGTAAATTAGATCTCCAGGAACTGTCTTGTGTAACCAAAAGTTTGTACCTTTGCCTAACATCTCCCGGTATTTCCCTAACCCCAGGCCCTGGTAAGCACCATTCTGTTGTTTGTTTCTATGAGTATGACATATTTAGATTCCATGCATGAGTGAGAACCTGTAGTATTTTTCTCTCTGAATAACAAAGATATTCTTGAAGAAAAATCGAAGAGCTTCTTCTGCAATATAACCTAGCATATAAGAAAGCTATGGTAATCAAGTTGAGTGCATTATTTGCACGGTAGACAAGTAAACTGATGGAGCACAATAGAGAGCATAGACCCAGATTCTGGCATAAATGGTACTTGATTTATGACAGAAATAGTGCTGAAGAACAGTAGAAAATGGATGTTCTCTCTCAAATGGTGCTGAGAAATTTCCTGTCCATGTGGAAAGAAAGAAATCTGAATCTTCAGATCATACCGTATAAGGAAAGAATTCCAAATGGATTAAAAGCTGAAAGGTAGAAACATTAAATAGATAGAAGAGTATTGAGATTAACTTCCTGACCTGAAGATAGGTGCTTTGCTAAACAAGACTTTAAAACAGTAGCGTAAGGGAAAACATTTTTAAAATAGCATTTACATTTAAATCATTAACTTCTGTTTATCAACAGACACTATTAAAAAATTAGAAAGGCCAATAAATGGGCAGAAGAAGATATTTCCAATGCATATAACTGAGTAGAAGCATGTATCAGATTGTGTGAAGAGCTTCTATCAAAAGCCCTATAGAGACTGAGTAAAATACTTGACTCGGAACTTTTCAGTGAGGAAATTCAAAGCTTTTGAAAAGATGCTTAGCCTCATTAATAATCAGGAAAATATAAATTAAAGCCACAATAAAATATCACTTCACTCTCATAAGATTAGCAAAAATTGCTTCAAAATGTTTGTTAATGCCAAGTGATAACTGAGAAGTGAAGCTTCAGGAGCTCTTAGCAGAAATATAAATTTACAGGGCCACTTTAGAAAATGGTTGGGAATTATCTACCCAAGTTGAAAATATTTATCATGTATGATGCAGAATTTTCGATTTTTGATATAAACCTTAAAGACTGTGAATTTGTGTGCACTGCAACACACACGTTTTTGATGATTTTCAGAGGCTGAAACAGAGGCCTGCAGAAAGGGAATGAGGGAGCAAGAGAGAGACAGGCAGGCAGACAGACAGGTAGAGATTGAACTAATGAATATGAGAATGAGAATGAACAAGAACAAACAGACAAAAACATGGACGATGGAAGATTCTGGGAAAAGGTTATAAGGAACCAGACATGCAAAGGATTCAGGGAGGAATGTTAACAGAGGAAACAGCAAGATTAAAGCACTTGAGTCAAGAGTCACGTGGTGAATTCTGGTATATTGCAAATAGTAGTTATGGCTGAAGTGCAGTGTTTGAGTGTGGCATAAGACAAAATTGAATACTGGGATCATACATGGTCTTACAGGTAGTGGGGAGGTACTGCATGATTTAAAGCAGTGCAGGAAGAGTCGATTATTTAAATTTTCTATGCTAATGATCTCTGAAAAATATATGCAGTTAAAAGGCTTGGAAATCTTAAGAGATATTTAATTTTGAAAAACTATAGTCAAAAATAATTTAATTGCACATTTAAAAATAACTAAAAGTATAATTTAATTGTTTGTAACACAAAGGATAAATGCTTGAGGTGATGGATACCCCATTTACCCTGGTGTAATTATGATGCATTGCATGCCTGTATCAAAATATCTCATGTAACCCCAAAATATATATACCTACTAAGTTTGCACAAAAAATAAAAATAAACTACTCTACTATATACATCCTGATGGCAGATAAGCCTTTGTACAATTGTTTTTAACCTTAGCATGTACATTGTGGTCAATAAATTCAGACTGACAGAACGAATAAATGTTTTTTGAAGGTAAATACATCTGTAAATTTATCCCTAAGTAGATGAATAAAAGTAAAAACATTATATGAAATTAACTTCTAATACTATTTGCTTTGTGATTGGTTTTCTGATATTGATCCGTAGAATTAAAACGTGATTGACTTTTTAGTTTGCTAATCAAATTAAATTTAAAAATCACTTTTAATTGCATTTTAAATAATTTCAAAAATATTTTTTCCCATAGTGCTAAAGGCAAAGAGAAAAGATAAGCATCTTTTAAAATTTGTTTTCTAAATGTAAGTAGATTATAGTGAAGTTGAATTGTCACTGAATTTTCTGAGTAAATAATTTTGCACTCAAACATTGGAAATATTATCTTAAACCAGCATTAGAAAACAGAATGAAACTTGAATTATTTTACCTACCAGTAGTAGAATAAGTATATGTTGATTTCTTAAAACTAAGTATTAATGAATGGGAAAAAGACAGCTAAGGCAATGGAAGACAATACTCATTAATTTGCATTTCAGATTTTTAAAATATTTCTGAAAATGTCACAGGACTTCAGCAGGGATGGTATTGAGTATTTGGCTAATTTTAACTTCAAGACAATTTAATATTAGCAGTCTTTTTTTATTTGCTTTTTCCTTAGATATATATATCATATGTCTTTATTCAGTCTTCATAGGTTTCAAATGAAAGATATGAATTATAAGTATGTGCTGCTATTTTTGACCTTTTCTAGTTTTCTAAACTAAGTCATGTTTCTATAATGTAAGTGATTTTTTTGTATATGTGATAAGCTTGTTCCAAGCTATAAAATACTGTATTGTTGAAACATCCATAGATTTAGCATAAAAATAAATATGACTTTAATTTGTCAGCTTTGTTTTTATTTATTTATTTATTTATTTATTTATTTATTTACTTATTTACTTATTTATTTATTTTTGAGATGCAGTCTCGCTCTGTCACCCAGGTTGGAGTGCAGTGGCACGATCTCGGCTCACTGCAACCTCCGCCTTCTGGATTCAAGCGATTCTCCTGCCTCAGCCTCCTGAGTAACTAGGATTACAGGCGCCCACCACCACACCCACCTAATTTTTGTATTTTTAGTAGAGACGCAGTTTCACCATGTTGACCACGCTGGTCACGAACTCCTGACCTCAAGTGATCCGTCCGCCTTGGCCTTGGCCTCCCAAAGTGCTGGGATTACAGGCGTGAGCCACCATGGCTGGCCTAATTTGTCAGCTTTAAATATTACTCTGGGTGTACATTATAATAACCTTCAAAATACTCTAATTTTTACCAAGGTTACTAAAATAGAGTTCTTTTCTCAGTAGGGTGTGCAATTTTATTTGTACAATTTTTTACTTGTGCGGTAGTATCTAGAAGAGTATTTAATAATTCCTGAGCAAATTGAGAGTGGGGGTTCTGGTGATCATATAAAAGAGAAATTATATTTACCTCAAAAGTTTAATAACATAGACCATATCATTAATAGGTTCATGAAAGTAAAACATTAAATGTTTCCAACTATTGCTTTAGTAGTATGAAGATAAAAATATTGACTACATTAAATGAAATTATTTTGCCTTGTTTTATATCTATATTTTCCTAAAAATCAGAGTTGGCATAATTTTCCATGCATAAAATTATGCCTAATATATATATAATAGATTATTAATAATCTTGTAAAATTATCATTGTCTCTATCAGATCAATATAAGTTCTCAAAATTATTTATATATAGTTTTATGGTCTACCGAGTTCTGCTATAAAATGACATATGTGTTCCTAAAATTCTTTGCACTATGCAAAATTGTAGAATAAAAGCCACAAGGTCTATGCAAAATGGAGTTAAGCAAAAAGACACTTTTAAAAAATTTTGTCAGTGTCATATAAAAATATCTAAGAATCTAATGAAAATGGGATCATGGTTTTATACATGTTAGATGGTTAAGATGTATATAAATAATACAATAAATAAGACACTTTACCTTGAAAAAGGCTCAATGCTCGTGGAAGTGAGCATGCAGAGGGTTTGCTTTTGTTAGTTATTGTGAAGTGATAGAATGTGGGCTATCTGAAATAAGAAGTGAAGTTTGAATGCCAGATGTGGGTGGGAGTGAACTGAGGTAGCTGGTGTATACTTGAGGTGAGTGCATGTGTTTTGTGTCCAACTCCATTGTTCCATTGAGCAGAATGCAATTTCTGAGTTCACCCAGCGGTTCTCACCCATGACACTGCACAAATGCAGTGCGTAATTTGTGTCATTCTCAAATTGTTTCCTAATAGTTACGCTGAAACAAATTTGTGTTTTCAAAACAAGTGTTTTTTGTTTTACGTTTATTTTAAGTTCAGGGGTATATGTGCAGGTTTGTTACAGAGATAAATGTGTATCATGGAGATTTGTTGTGCAGATATTTCCAGAGACAGGTTTTAAGCCTAGTACCCATTAGCTATTTTTCCTAATCCTCTCTCACCTTCCACCCTCCACTCTGCAGTAGGCCCCAGTGTGTTGTTCTCTATGTGTCCATGTGTTCTCATCATTTAGCCCCCGCTTGTAAGTGAGAACATTGTGGTATTTGGTTTTCTATCCTTAGCAAAACGAGTTTTATAACAGAACCCAATAACTCTTTTTTCCCCATATTGACAGATCCCAAAGGGAATTCACTGAATTGTTATGCTTTACTTGTATTTATATTTCCGGTGGATTCTTATGTGTGTACTTGTACCAAACTCAAATAACTTCACAATTAATACATATATGATATTGGAAATTTCACCACAGGATCCATATAGGCCAGTGTACTTTATTATGTTAACAGTTAACTTCATATTAACCAAATTTGACAAGTTCCAAATGGAGCAGTAGAAGTAAATGCATATTTTAAAGGTTCATTTGTTGGTTTTTTTTTTATAGTTAGGTTTTTACCAAGAAATACAGGGTATGCATGCTATATCCCAAATATATAATAAAATATAAAACTCTTAAAATAAATTTACAGGCAGTTACTGAGTCCATTTTTAAGTGTAGTTTTGCCCTTGCCTATATGAACACAGCTCTTAATGAAATCGAGCCACTGAGAATAGCATATGTATCCAAGAGCAGAATGTGGTCATAACGCTGGTAGTGTTAATGTTCCTGAGATCAATAAGATATCTAAGTGCATTGCTAATATGCTGATTGTGCAATATTTATTGCTTTTGATTGATTACTAAAATATGAAATACTGCATTTCCATAAGCAGTTCTTTTTCTCATATACAAAGTGAAGAAATCAAAGGAGAAAGCCAAGCTCTCAAAGAAAACTTGAGACTTCTTCCCCTGGAAATTATTACAAAATAAGTAAAACAGAGAAACCAAAAACTAAGTACAAAAACTTAAATTTGGAAATGTTAAAAGCCAACATGCTGTCAACAAGCCAATTACCACATATACTGTATATTGAAAGTAATGCAAAAAATAACTATTATAAGTATTTAGTATAGTGTTTTCTAATATTTAAAATCAGAAGTTGGTAACAATGTGTATAATAATATTGGGTTTTAACCTGATTTCTGTATAAAAATACAATTCAACTTCAACACGTTTTTGAGAATTAGAGCCACTAAACGATCAAGTCTCCTAGTTATTAGGACATATTGCAAATGAATTTATTATTTTATGTATTAATCTTAAACCCAAATTAATAACAGTTCTATATATCTACATAGTATTTCATATTGAAGACTGTTTACATTTATCTCATTTGAACTGCCTAATAATCCTGGGAGTTTGGCCCAGTTTTTTTTTTTTTCTTTTTTTTTTTTTTTTTTTTTTTTTTTTGAGATGGAGTCTCACTCTGTCGCCCAGGCTGGAGTGCAGTGGCACGATCTCGGCTCACTGCAGCCTCCCTCTTCCAGGTTCAAGCAATTCTCCTGCCTCAGCCTCCCAAGTAGCTAGGACTACAGGCACACACCACCACTCCCAGCTAATTTTTTGTATTTTTAGTAGAGATGGGGTTTCACGTGTTATCCAGGACGGTCTTGATCTCCTGACCTAGTGATCTGCCCACCTCAGGCTTCCAAAGTGCTGGGATTACAGGCATGAGCCACCGTGCCCGGCCTGGCCCAAAATTTTAAAGCTAGAAATGACTTCACAATTAAGCTCATTTTACTGATAAGGAACTTGAGGGCTACAGGTGAAAAATTAGCTTTTATTATAGCAGAGTTTAGAAACAGTTCCATCAGAATTTTTTATTTTATGTTGTTTCTTTTTTGCTTGTAAGCTAAGGGGTACATGTGCCAGTTTGTTTCATAAGTAAACTTGTATCATGAGGGGCTTGTTGTGCAGACTATTTTGTCACCCAGGTATTAAGACTAGCATCCATTAGTTATTTTTTCTGATCCCTTCCCTCCTCCTACCTTCCACCCTCCAATAGGCTCCAGTGTGTGTTGTTCCCCTCTGTGTCCATGCTTTCTCATCATTTACCTCCCACTTTTAAGTGAGAGCATGCAGTATTTGGTTTTCTTTTCCTGCATTAGTTTGCTAAGAATGATGGCCCCCAGTTCATCCATTTTCCTGCAAACGGCATAATCTCATTCTTTTTATGGCTGTATAGTATTCTCTGTTGTATATGTATCACATTTTCTTTATCCAGTCTATCACAGATGGGCATTTAGGTTGATTTTATGTTTTTGCTGTTGTGAATACTGCTGCAATGATCATATGTGTGCATGTGTCTTTATAATAGAACAATTTATATTACTTTGGGTATATACACAGTAATGGGATTGCTGGATCGTATGGTATTTCTGTCTTTAGGATTTTGAGGAATCTCCATACTGTCTTCCACAATGGTCAAACTAATTTACACTCCCACCGACATTGTATAGGTGTTCCTTTTTCTCCACACTATGTTTTTTTGTTTTGTTTTGTTTTGTTTTTAAATGAATTGCTGTACTTTGTTGCTGGTGGCATCAGAAAAAAAAATAGACATAAAAACTCAATGTGGTCTTATTAGAAAATGTCTCAATAATTGTATTAAACACTTTCTGTGTTTTGGACTATCATTAGGATATTTAGGAAATGGCTTTTGATTAATCAAAATCTAGTTGATTAGAGATTACTCACATAAAACACAGTAGGAATAATAACATAGCAAATTTAATAAGTCTAAATGGAACACACAAAGATGTTGTGAGGCTTCTTGGTATATGTGGAAAGAGCATAATTTGAGGGTTAAAGGGTTCTTGATTCATGTTACAGCTCCTCTACCCTAGTGTTTTTTTACCTCAAGTAATTTACTTCTCAGCCTATGTTATCCTGCTTGTAACATAAGAATAGTCATCCTTCTATTTCTCTGCTTTAAGTATTGAATAAAATAATATATAAAAAGAACCTGGCTCTAATTAGAATATGAATTCTCAATAAAATGACAAGGTATTAATAGTTGTCATCATATGAGCTAAGAAGAGGGAAGTATTCTGGCAGAATTAGAGGACATAAGGCTTGCTTTGGTTATAACAGAGCTGGTAGGAGTTAAGTTGGAAATTATTGGTGGGAAGACCGTTTAGGACCAGAGATATGGGATAAACACATTGTGAAGATGCAAGAAATAAAACGATTATGTGACAATGATTAGGAGAACCAAACCAGTACGTATATAGAAGTAGTGGTGTCTAAAGTTGAAAGTAAACCAGAGTCAAGTTATGGAAGACAAGAGCCATTGTTTAGAAGGGAACCCATGGGTAATGGAGAGCATAAAATTTCTTGAATAAAAGAAGCGGGTGGGGTAGGATTTATAGGGAATGAAGATTTGAAATCAGGGAAAAAAAAGGAAATTCATCATAGACCCTATAGATTTGGTTTATGTATTTTATAATCCTGTAACTAATTGAATTTTGTACTTTATCAAGTTAAATTTTAAAATATCGAAATCATAAACATCAGATTAAACTCTTACATTAATAAAGTATTTGTAAGTGTATATAGTTTGCCAATTTATGTTTAGATATGAGGATACAAATGAAAATAAATCCATTTTTGTGATTCTGTAGCTAGGCAAGACATGCATTTAGTATATGAAAATTTTAGTATAGGACAAAGCTAGAGATAAAATATAAATGTTATTATGGGCCTTTTTCCACCTCTAATTTATAAGCATATATCCTGCAGGCAGCTCGAGGCAAAAGATGTGAATCTGATGTTCTCTCAGGAGATTGAATTTTCATGTGCCTCTCAGAATGGAAGCACTTCATTCTCCTAAGGATGAGTCATAACTCATGACCTCTAAAAGCAAACCTTTGACTAATTCTGGTACTCCACTGAATAAGCAGCCATCTGTACCCATGCTAAAGGAAAAATTGTCTAGGTGGGAATTAATATGAGATGTTAGTCCCCAGTATAATGTTTTCATTGAGCAATAGTATTTTCCAATAAGACACATTCCTAAGAGATTTTGAATGGTAATTATGCATATATGTATTTTTTTTTTTGTTTAATTTCAGAACCTGACTCCAGTGTTAAGATTTAGCTCCACTTTCCTGGTAAAAACAACTCTAGCAGAGCAGCGTACATATTTCCTCATAGGCCTATGTATTATCACGTGGGATTGTAGCTACAAAGTGGGTACGATAATCAGCTTGGTTTCCTTTGACCCAATTAACTTGTATTTTATTTTCAGTGGCATCATGCACCTCTTGAATCATATCAAGGATAATTTTTCTGTAGTTAGATGGCATACTTTAACTGAAAAATGCAAAGTGTTCAAGAGATAAATATTAAAGCATTGAAGTCTGGTAGAACTGAAAGAGAAAAAAAAATGTTTCCAGATTGTGTCTTATTTCCTTAACTATTCTACCTAACTCACAGCTATATACCCAGAAAATTTTGGTGAGTCTCTTAATTTCAGGATACTATACTTTTAAAGAGCCAGTTCCAGTGTATTTAGTAAAATAAATGGTTTCCATGTTGTTTCCCAGAACTCTTTATACAACATTTATAAAACTGTGTCTTGTTTCATCCAAAGTGATAATTCTATTCTGAATACCAAACAAATCTAAGAACAGATAAATTACTTACAGGTATACAGGACTTGAGAGAATAGTTGAAGTGGATGCATTCAAATAAATCACTATTATATCCATTATTAACTTAATTATAATGCATCTGGTAACACAGCTTCAGAACACTGGGTCTTGTATGATGAATTAAAGATAGACTGGTAAAGTTATTCTTATCACAACAAAATCTTTTGACTTAATTGATCTGAATTTTTATTCATATTTGTATAAACATTAGTCAAGCTTCTATTTTGAATTAAAAAACCAGGAGAGATAAAGGCATAATTCCCTTGAAGTATAGTACCCATCTTTTGTTCAATGGTTAAATGTTTAAAAACATTAAACACTGGTAAGACCAGATAGTAATTTTACCAGCCCAAACTTAATCTATGTATTCAGTCATGTAGAAAATAAGTTTCAGCTTATTACTTTAAAATCAGATTGAGCTAAGGAAATATGCGGAGGCAAGTATAATATTTTACCTTTATCAACATGAACAACTCTATACGTCCTCCTTTAAGTAGTGGTAAAGTAATTTGAAAGAGGGTAACTTTATTAAATGGTAGATTTTTCACATATTCCTACATCACAATGTTTTAAATGTTTTGCTTTTTGAAAAAATGCTTGAAGCATAGTTAGATTAACTTTTCCTTTTTGTATAGACAGTAGTATGCAATTCTCTTAGCATTTGAAAGCTTTTTTTTGAAAGCTTTTAAAATAAATGGCTAGATGCATTTTTCATGGCTCTCACATTTTGACAAGGTATGTTTTCAAATTCTGCTATAAAAAAACTTCATGACTCAACATTTATCATTTAAACATATTTATTAAGTACCCACTAAAACTCAGCACTATCTTAGGCATAGGAATAAAATAATGAGCAAAAAATAGGTCACTACATTCATAGAGTTAATGGTTTGGTAACTGTACCCTGGTGCAATATATGCGAATGTATCTGGAGACATTTACGGTTGTCACACTCTAGTTGTGGTGGGGAGGGAAGTGTGGTACTAGAATCTGGTGGACAGAGGCTAAAAATGCTGCTAAATATACTATAGTGCACAAGACAGCCTCCATCATAAAATACTACTCAGCCCAAATGCTAGCAATGTCACAGTGAAGAAGCTTTGCTAGTATATGAAATGGGCATCAATTAAACAATTCCACTATTGAATACACAAATAACATTCAAGATAAGAACTTCAAAAGAAAGAAAACATTATTTTTTGAGAGCCCTTAACAAAAATAAATTGACATAAACTGAAGTCAGCATAGATCCCCTCACCCCAAGGAAGTTATCTGAAAGATAAAGTATTTTTGTGTGTATAGTAGAGAGGGAGAAGGATATCATAGGAGGAGGGTTTCAAATGATAGCTAATGGTTGGCGGAAATAGAAACTGATAGCAATATGGCAAGAGAAGAGAGGGAGATGTGAGATGAGACTGGAGGGGTAGGCGAAAACAGATATGGTTGTGTGGGTTCTTTGAGGGATTCAAAGACATTAAAACATTTTAAGCAAGAAAGAGCTTCAGTTGATTAGATGCTCAAATTTGAAAATATCACCCTGGCTACAGTACAGAGGGAGATAGATTAGAAAAGGGAAGAGTTGCTAAGAGGAAGCTAAGAGATATTCTGGCAGGTACTATAGCTATAAATTATAATCTGAATCAATGGTAAAAAAAAAAACTGTGTAATATTCATATTTGTTTAACTTGCAAATGACAAAGGAAGGTCTTTTGAAACCATGACTCATAAGTAAGAGATTTGATTTTTAGTTTTTAACCCAAAGTGACTGCTGGCAGGGAGAGGCCATGTATTTTCCAAAAGTACATTTTAGCAAAGATGTATGACCTCTTTTAAAAATATATTATTCTTATCAAAGACATTGTAATTCCAGATAGATTGGATTACCAAATGAAAATAACGTAAATACAAATGCAAAGTTATTCATTCAGTGCACAGTACACAAAGTACAGTACTCAAGAACTTGATCCAGAATTAAAGCCAAGGAAAGCCACTAAATGGTTAATATTTGGTAAAGTGAGGCTATAAACTTTACTTTCTTCAGAGTCTGCAATGGTGAAGCTAGCCATTTCTGCCTTAGTGCAGAAGGAGCAGATTAAGTAGCTACACCTTGAGCCTTCTATTTTGTTCATAGGTACTGACAAGACATTGAAATTGCTGCCGAAGTAAATGACTAGAGGAATAGGTAACTCTTTTTATTTTGTAACCTATTATTTTTCTACCTTTCCTAATAAAGAGAGAGAATTGACAAATACTGATTTAGGAACTGTGGGCTAGTCTAATGTGTTGTTGACAGAAGTTGAAGAGGGTAGTGAAAAAATGATCACGAATTATCGCTAAAGTTAAATTCAAAGTAAATTATTTTCTAACTTCAAAACAAAACTTTATAAACATCTCTAGAAAATGTTCTCTTAGTTATGCCCATTTTGTTTACAGTTGATTAGAAGTAGAATAGAAAAATGACAGAGTGTAGAGTTGAAATATCTGTTTCTGACATGATACTGAAGTCATTTAGTGAGTTCTATACAGAGAAAGGGATACTCATCCATAGTAAGTTTTGCAGATGTCTTGCTTCTGATGGAACAACTTCAGAGAGATGGAATTTGGAAGATTAGAAGGCAGACCATGGCATTGTGGAAGGCAGTACTCTCTGTGATGGAATTCTTTCTTATACACATTGTAATCCACTCCCACCCTTAGTGTTGTCCTCATAATCCCCTTTCTACATTCAGTAGCAACATATAACTATTCTCCCAATGTTTGAGATTTTTCTGTCCATCTTTTAATGCTTGCCTCTTCAACTGCTCTTGTGATATTCATAGTGTACTCATCATTCTATCCACACTTTTAAAATGGCAACGAATACAAACTAAAGGTACTTCTTTAGACATGGATTGATTGTTTCTGGCAATGAGAAAACTATAGTTTCTCATGATATAGACTTTATATGTATTATATTTAATTAAGAAATTATGACATTGTTAGTGATTAGAATGTAAAATGGTTTTACTAATAGTCTACAGGCTATTATAATTACTTCAAAATAATATATTTTAAATATCCATTTCTGACTCACAGATTCCTACAGCTTGTTTTGCTATTTTGAAATCAATTTGCCACCCGCTGTTTTCCTACTACATTGATTCCTTTTGAAATCTCAAATCTACTCTAATTTCAGTGTCACTTCTGTGGGTTCACAGAATCTCTGATTAATTTCCTATAGGAGACTGTATAGCACACTGTGGTCCTATTTTTTGGCAGAAGTACCTAAAACAGTTGAGTGGAAGAAAGAATTTAAAGTATTTTTTTCAGTTAATTGACTTGATGAAAGTAAGAGGAAAATAATTTGACGAACACATTTTTGTTCTTAAATTGTATCTTTCATCACTGGAATTTTCTTATGATAGGATTAATAGCTCAGGAGTAAGTCCTTCCTCACATTGGCCTGATATCACTACTGCAGACAAACTAATTTATTATTGATGACTTGTGATAATTTTTTACCTGTCTCTGTTTCAGCACATCTGATATGTTGGGTAAAGCCTATTGATTCATCCAGGTTTGGCTTTTATGGTAATTTATGGAAAGGAAGCCCTGAAGAAAGCTTGCAAAAGAGATGAATATTTTTCAGATTTTACCCAAGTAGAATAAAAGAAACATGAAAGGTCGGTTTTTCTCCAGTTAAATTGATGATCCTGCTAGAGTTTAACATGTGGATGGATGAAGGTCGATGGAGAAAGGAGTACTGTTAGATGTGAACTGGTACTCATGGTTATTTAATATTGAATGTTAATGATGGGCTGTGCACTTTAAAGAACATAGGAGTTCAGCATGAAAGGCATGACTCAATTTTGTTATTCAAGACCTGCAGTTTCTCCTTTGAGAGGCCTCTGTGTTACAGTAAGGATTTGTTAAATGAGTTATATTTTGAAATGCATTATCACTAATATTCCTGTTATTGCTGCATCAAAAGCATCTGAAAAGTAAAAGTAAATATCCTGTTTTTTCTACCATGAATTTTCATGTAAATGTGCAATTCGTCTTGATTGGATCTAAATTGTTGAGCGGAGAGAATGCATGCATTTACTTTCCATGGGCCTCATGGGACATCAAATTGAATTCTCTTGTGTATTGTGTGGGCTTGACTACATTTGTCTGTTTTTATCTCTGCTATGCAAAAAGATTACTGAGTTTTATCTTCCCAGGGGGAAACTGAAAAAACAATATTCTCCCCTTTATTGATATGCTTCTTCTAGGAAAAAAATGCAACTAAATAAGTTACCTTTTAAGCAGCAGATAAGAGAATCCTGAACACTGAATAAAATTGACTCACAGTGAAAAGCATTTGAAACCTAGATAGAATACCAAGATGCAGCAGATCAGATATTAGAGGAAAAAAATATCGTCGGCTGAGAAGAAATAGTTGAAGAAAGAGTGATCACGAAGCTTTCAATTTTATCAGTCTTTAGAAAGTTCTATCAATCTTATTACTGTAAAGCTAGCCTTTAGCTTCTCTGCAAAAAGCAAATCATTGGGGTTACAAAGCTGTTCTACTTTGACAATTTATTGAAATAAATTATGATTTGCCTTACCCATCTCATTATTATAGTTTTGAACTTTTAAATTCGCCTTTGATTATAAAAAGGTGAAAAGAACTGGAAAATAAGTAGAGGTAAAGGGGAAGAGGAATAAAGATAATGTTACAATGTTAAAAGTAGGTAACTATAGGAGATACTAAAGATAGCAAAATATTTTTAAAGACTTAGTTTTCATTCTTTTATTTAGAAATTTTAAACGTTCATGAGATCAATTAGAATGCTATTAAGCATAGATTTTGTTTTTGCCACGACTTAATTTAATGACATTCTTTCTTATCTGTGTGTGGGGGTGGGGAGGGGGAGAGACACTAGGCACAACTTCCTTTACTACTCACAGAACACAAGGAAATCTGAAAATATCTGCATTTTCACATTTTGTCCAATTGCTGAAAGTCTTCATATATTAATTTGCTCGCATTTTATGTACATAATTGTGAGCATAGTTGTTTATGAAAAAAATATGAAGTTTATTGTTGTATGGATGGAGAGAAAATAAGCAGATAGAAGTATTTATTAGAAGGGAAAGCTTCCAAGGGGAGATAAAATTTAAGTTGGGCTTTGAAATTTTTAGAAAACCAAGGAGCAATAACTTGGAAATGGCACGGTCAAAGATATAGTGTGATAATTAGCTAGGTGTTATTGTGGTAGCATATAGCATTTGGGGAGCATCTGAAATTTGAAAACTTGATTTATTTTAGATAATAGAAATATGTATTCCTCAATCTAAGAAATTTGAATTGTATCTGATGTTTTCGTTCTAAATATGTATAACTAAAATAATTATACTTATTTACTACAGAAAAAAACAGAACATTCTTTCACACAGCTATAGGAATAACAGAATCAAAACAAGTGTGACAGTATTATTACATAGATTTTAGGCTTGCTGTCTGATTGCTGGAGTTCTGTCTATAGACATTAAAGTGCTGGATATAGTAAATGTTCCTCGGCATAAAGAGTTTATAGTAAATAAAGTCTTGGAAAACAGAATAGAAAGTTGTTATAGTTCGTGGGCTCTTCAAATTTGGGCCAAGGGACAGCATATCAGAGAAGATGATAATGGAAAACTAGTAAATTTTAAGACTAGCAATAAAAAACTAATAAGGAAGAAGCATAAGTTAATTAAATGAGAACTAGTATATACAGATAGTAGATGATATTAGATGCTATATAGGTATTAGTGAACATACAACTGAGTCATAGATATATGATTACAATTAAATTGAACCTGTTGGGAAACTTGTACCAGATTAGAAAATCAGAAGTGTGAAGTCAACATAGCAACCTATTTTTGGCAGTCTTTAAAGGCTTAAGATTCCCACTGAGAAAAATGCCACAGTAACATCCTCATAAAACACAGATTCAAGTTAGGGTATGATAATCACTTTTCAAATATTGATATTCTCACCTTGATTATGGAACACATTTTTCTACTATTTTTATGCCTAGACAACAATTTGTAGTTGGACAATGGACATTATGAGTGATACATTGTGGAGAGTCATTCTCTTTAAAGGGCATTGAGTTTTGTTCACACAGTTATTTAAATTATTGATCATTCCTCTTAGATATATTATATATGATTCTATTATTTACTAACCTGACATTATTTTTTTCTTTAATAAAATAATAACAGTTTACTATAAAATAACAAAATAATAACAGTTTACTATAAAATCAGTTTCATAAATGATTTTAAATGGAAAAATATCACACTTAGCTGATTTTTTTTACTACCTACTTATTCCTTGAAGGAAAGCCAAATTCTTCCCTTAATCAATCAGTCATATTTATTTTTCCATTCTAAGAAGCAATGAGGATCATCTAAGTGCATTTAAGATTTCCTATACTTGGACTTTGGCCTTCTCTAAAAGAGCTGCTCTGAAAAACATTTCCTCCGAAATGCAATTAGGAGAAATGTATCTTGAAATGAGCCTACACTTCTTTTTTTTTTTTTATTTAAGTTCCGGGATACATGTGCCGAATGTGCAGGTTTGTTACATAGGTATACATGTGCCATGGTGGTTTGCTGCACCCATCAACCCATCAACCCATCATCTACCTTAGGTATTTCTCCTAATGCTATCCACTTAGCTGATTTTTAAAAAGGTAAGCAGCCAGCAGGTAAAATGGTAGCTAAGTTTGCCCTTTTTATGACCATTAAACCTTATCTATTTAAAGATCCATCTGATCTCCTAGTATAGTTTGTAAAATAGAAAAAAGCAAAGAAAGCAACAAATGAAATACATTCTCTTTGTCCAGATAACTACTTAATTTCAGGAGTGAATCTTTCTGAGCCTGATGTCCACTGTTTCTTCATTTATTACCAGCTTTGAATACCAACCTTGGCAGTAATGAGAAATAAACTTCTAAATTCCCAGATGGGCTGGTAGACAAACTGTGCATGAGTTACTTTTTGTTATAACCTGTTTCCAAAATGCAAATACTTATTGGAATAGGCAAGCCATTTACCAACGGTAACTCAAAACTTCATTTCAGACTGGGTGATAATTTAATAGAAATTGATAATAGCTCTTCTATGGAAGCTAAAACTTCAAACTCCGTATTTTTTTATTTATGCTAATCTATATTTGTTATGGATTTTTACACACTTATTATTCAATCTTTAATAATTCCTATACCAAAAAGCTGGACAAGATGGTGAAGTAAACTTCTCCAGGGATTGTTCCCCCAAAGAAACATCAATCTGAACAACTATCCACGCACCAGAAAACCTTCATAAGAATTCAGGAAATCCATTTTTTTTTCTTCATCAGTGTTATAGCAAAATAATGTTGAATGAAACAATGTTATTCCAGAACCTGCTGTACGTCTTTTCTCTTAAAGTGGCAATTTTCAAGAATATATCAATGGCAATGTTCCTGGTTGTAGCATAATAATAAGAAGAAAAGAAGCACTGAAGAACCTACAAGGACAGGTTTACATTACCGGAATCACTCTTTCACCAACCCACAGCAGCAGAGTGAAGAGAGAGTCAATATCTGCTTGGGGGAAGAAAGAGGACCTTGGTTTGGAACAAAGTACTGAGCCCAACACAGTTAAACACGGTACTGGGCAGAACCCTTAGGCTCCTGACGCCAGGCTGATACCTGCAAATGGAGCTTCTAGACCCTCCCTGGCATCAGAAAAGAACCTGTAACCCTGGCTATATAGACTCTTGTTCTTGCCTGCATCATCACTGACCAACTGCAGTTACCTCAAGCCCCGAAGAAACCTCAGTGGCAGCCATAGCACCTGCGGGCCTTAGACATGCCCCAGTGCTGCACAGCTCTCAGTGGCAGTGGGTTTTGGATGAGACCCAACATTACATCAGCGTTGGTGGCCATGGTATTAACTATGTTGACTATCCCCAAACTCCAGGAAGAACAGCACATAAATAGACACCTTTGACTTGAAGAGAGGAGAGAAAAGCAAGCATAACACTTTGCCTCACAACACAGGCCTGGGGCCCACCTCAGTAAAGCTGAGTACTGAGCAGAACCCCGTGGCCAAAGATGAAGCCTCTAGGCCCAGCCCTGGGCCATAATGAAACCAGTGGCCCTGGCAAGAAGAATTCAAGATCCAGCCCACATTACCACCAGGTAACTACAGCAGCCTCCAGCCCTGAATAACCCTCAGTGGTAGGCAAGCCATAGCAGCAGTAGGCCTTGGGCATGTCCCAGTGCTGCACAGGTCTAGGTGGTCATTGGCTTTAGGTGCAATCCAGCACTGTGTTACCCTTGGAGGCCAAAGGATTCCGACTGTGGTGGTCCTGGGATTACATTTCCCTTTAGAGCTGTCACAGCTGAAGTGGTAATGGGCTTACAGTTCTCACCAGTCAATTTCCCCAATGAAAGGCGAGGAAATTATTTACCACCACAATTATCTTACATGAAATGCTAAAGGGAATTCTTCAAGATGAAATAAAAGGACAGTAATAAGTACACCAGAAACATCTGAAAGTATATAACTCACTGGAAAAAATAAATTACACAATCAAATTCTGGATACTCTAATAATGTAATGGTGGTGTACAAATCACATCTTTAGTACGAAGGTAAAAAGGCAAAACTATTAAGAACATAGATAACTCTAATTCATTAAGAAAAATACAATATAAAAATGTAAATTGTGATATTAAACATTAAGAATTGGGGGAAGATAAACTAAATGGTAGATTTTTCCTGTATTTTTATTTTCTTTTTTTTGTGAACAAATTTATCAATTTAAAATAACCCATATAATTATAACATGTTTTTTATAATTCTTCTGTTTAACACAAAGCAAAAAGCTATGTTAGATACACTAAACAAAAAGCAAGAAATCAAAATATTCCTAGAGAAAAAATCACTTAGCCACCAGAGAAGAACGTAGGAGAAGAAAAAAAGGAAGATCAATAAAACAACTAGAAAGCAGTTCACAAAGTGGCATTAGTAAGTCCTTCCTTATCAAATATCACCATTAATGCAAATGGATTACCCAGTTAAAAATACATAAAGTGGCTTAATAAAATTTTCTTAAAAACCCTAACTATATGCTGCCTGTGACTCACTTCACCTGTAAGGACACCCATAGACTGAAATTGAAAGACTATAAAAATACATTTCATGCAAATGGAAACCAAAAGAAAGCAGTAATAACTACATTATATCAGATAAAATAGATTAAGTCACAAATGGTAAAAAGTGATAAAGAAGGTCATTATATCGTAATAAAGGGTTCAATTCAGCAAAATAATGAACAATTTTAAATATGTACTCAACATTAGAGCACTTTAATGTATAAAGCAAATATTAATACATCCAAAGGAAAAGATAGACTGCACTATAGTAGTGTACCTCAACAGCCCAATTTCAACAATGGACAAATAAGAGAGAAAATCAACAAAGAAACATTGAATTTAAACTGCACTCTTCACCAAATATACCTAACCTAAGAGATGGTTACAGAATATTCCATTCAACAGCTATAGACTATGCATTCTTCATAACTGCACATAGAAGATTCTCCAGGATAGATTGTATGACAGGCCACAAAAGAAGTCTTAACTAATTTAAGGAGATCAAATTCAAAATCAAGTATCTTTTTCTGACTGTAATGCTATAAAACTAGAAATCAATAACGGGATAAATTTAGCAACTTTTAAAAGTAAACGTGGAGGCGGGATTGAAGATGGCTGACTACATGCAGCCAGGAGAAACATCTGTCCATGAGAGACTGGGATGTTGGGAAGACTGACACACTCAGAGCAGATATTTGGAGGGAAGGCATTGAAAGTGGATAGAGGCAGGACACAGATGCTGGGCTGAATGGGGAGGAAGCTGCAAACCCTGCACAGGGCTACCAAGCACTGGGACTTGTTCCTGCCTGCTAGTGACTCCTGGGGCAGGGGTGAGTGAAACGGCAAGGAATGACCCACTCTCATCATGAGCAACTGAAATCTTGGCACCAGGAGACCCCATGACCCCCACAGATACTTGAGCTTCCAGGGAGCTCCTTAGAGATGTCGTAGGGGAAAGACTCCAGACTCTGCAGGGTCCAGAGAGTTTGGTGCAGAAATGCCTTCAGTGGAGCATGACCAGGGATGCCCATTCCCCATGTGTCACTATGCTGTTCTAGGAGACTTTACTCTTTAGGGGGCTGTTGGACGTGTACAGAGCAGGGCAGTCTTGCCCTTGAAAAGGGGCAGTCTGATCTGAGAACCCCCATCTGCTGGCCTCCCCTAGGGCCCCAGCCTGGCAGTGCCCACTTACAATACAGTCTTGGATACTCAACTGGGGTGCTTCCTGGGGGCCCTCATAGCTTCTTCAAGAGCAAAATGTACCTGTCAGACCTCCAGTACAGTGGCCCTGTTAATGCATACTAGCCCACCCCTACCATTCCCCCAGCCTCCACTGAACCACTTTTCCTTACACCCCCCTCTCATTGTAGGCACACTCACAGGCAGAACTTGCATGCCCTCTTCCACCACCACATGTGTGCACTCGAACACTGTCTCACCACTGATGCCAGCATGAGCGCATCCTGTCCCCTGGGCTGCGTGGTCATTGCCTGCACAAATATACACACAGATGCTGACAACCTTGCACCTGCTGCATGGCCACCATGACTGTAGATGTGCACTGGAGACTGACAGCATCAGCCCCACTGAACCACCACTACTTTTGCTGAAATACATGCATGGAGGCCAGCAGCCCCATGCCCAACAGCCCCCTGCTCCCCCAACCACTGCTGGTATGCAAGTGCACAGGAATGGCACAGACTTGCTCCCACCAGTACCCTGCCCCAGACACCACACTTGCACCCTGCCATGTGGCTGCTGTTGGGACATGCAAAATAGAATGGAACCCACTGCCACTGCCTCAATGAAGCACTTTGGATGACACCAAACATCTGACTGCTGCAGTGAACAGTCCGGGAACATCTCAGCCCCGCCAGCATAGCATGCTTCTAACCTCAAGGGGCCAGAGAACAAAGCTGGGAGCCCAACATCAACCCCTCAGTGTTAGAGCAGGCAGCCCAGGAGTGCTAAACCAAGCCTTGTCCCCCTGAAATCTTCCAGAAAGGCAGCCAGTCAACTGAATACACCTTATACCAAAATGAAACCCCAAAGGGCATCAGAAAAGGCAAAAGAAGAAAAAAGACTCGTCCAAAGGACATCAAATTCAAAGATTGAAGGAACATCATCCCACAGAGATGAGATAGAACCAGCACAAGAACTCTGGCAACTCAAAACAACAGAGTATCTGCTTACCTCCAAACAACTGCACTAGTTCCCAAGCAGTGGTTTCTAACCAGGCTGAAATGGCTGACATGGTAGAAATAGAATTCAGAATATGGAATTCTATCAGAATATGGAACAAAGATCATCGAGATTCAGGAGAAAGTTGAAACTCAATTCAATTATTCTAAGAAATAATTGAACAAAATAATACAGGAGATAAAAGACAAAATGGCCATTTTAGGAAAGAATCAAACTGATGTGAAAGAGCTGAAAATCTTACTTCAAAAATTTCCGAATAAAATTATGAGAATCAACGAATTATAAAATTGAAAGTGGATAGAGGCAGGACACAGATGCTGGGCTGAATGGGGAGGAAGCTGCAAACCCTGCACAGGGCTACCAAGCACTGGGATTTGTTCCTGCCTGCTAGTGACTCCTGGGGCAGGGGTGAGTGAAACGGCAAGGAATGACCCACTCTCATCATCAACCAATAAAATTAAGAGAATCAACCAAGCTGAGGAAAGAATCTCAGACCTTGAAGGCTGATTCTCTAAAATAACTCATTCAGACAAAAATAAAGAAAAAAAGATTAAAGAAGACTGAACGAAACCTCTAAGAAATATGGGATTATCTAAAGAGACCAAATCTACGTCAGAGTGGCATCTCTGAAAGAGAAAACAATCAACTTGAAAAACATATTTCAGGATATCACCCATAAAAATTTCCCCTATCTTGCTAGAGAGGTCAACATTCAAATTTAGGAAATGCAGAGAACCCTTGCCAGATACTATTGATATACAAAACAACCATCTCAAGAAAATATAGTCATCGCATTCTCCTTGGTTAAAATGAAAGAAAAAAAATGTTAAAGGCAGCTAGAGAGAAGGGGCAGAGAGGAGAGAGACAGAGAAGAGAAAGAGGCAGAGAGACAAAGAGGGAGTCAAAGAGAGAAAGAAAGAGAAAGATAGAAATAGTAAAAAAAAAAAAAAAAGGCCGGGCACAGTGGCTCACGCCTGTAATCCCAGCACTTTTGGAGGCCGAGGCGGGCGGATCATGAGGTCAGGAGATCGAGACCATCCTGGCTAACATGAATGGCTATAAATTGCTTGAAAGCAATTTAAAGATTCAATTTCTGTAGGGTTCACCTACAGAAAGAACCCCATCAGGCTAATAGTGGACATCTCAGCAGAAATCCTAGAATCTGGAAGAGACTGGGGGCCTAAATTCAGCATTCTCAAAGAAAGGAAATTCCAACCAACAATTTCATATCCAGCTAAACTAAACTTTGTAAGTGATTGGGAAATAAGATCCTTTTCGGACAAGCAAACGCTAAGGGAATTTGTTACCACCAGACTTGCCTTACAAGAGGTCTTGAAGAGAGTGCTAAATATGGAAAGGAAGACTATTATTGGCACTACAAAAACACACTGAAGAACATAGATCATTGACACTATAAAGCAGCCAAACAAATAAGCCTGCTTAATAATCAGCTAACAACACAATGAAAAGATCAAATCTACACATATCAATATTAACCTTGAATGTAAATGGGCTAAATGCCCCCAGTTAAAAGGCACAGAGTGGAAAGTAAAGAAGCAAGAACCAACTGTATGGTGTCTTCCAGGGACCCATCTCACATATTGGGACACCCATAAATTCAAAGTAGAGGGATGGAGAAAAATCTACCAAGCAAACAAAAAACAGAAAAAAAAAAACAGGGATTGCCATTCTAATTTCATACAGTATGACTTTAAACAATGATTTAAAAAGGCAAAGAAGAGCATGGCATTAACGATAAAGAATGCAGTTAAGCAAGAATATCTAACTATACTAAAATGCACCCAACACAGGTGCATCGGGATTCATAAAGCAAGTTTTCAGACACCTATGAAGAGACTTAGTTAACCACACAATAAGAGGTGAAGTCTTCAACAGCACAATGACAGTGTTAGACAGAAAACTGAGACAGAAAACTAACAAAAATATTCAGGGCCTAAACTCAGCACTTCACCAAATGGGCCTAGTAGACATGTATAGAACTCTCCACCTTAAAACAACAGAATATACATTCTTCTCACCTGAACGTGGCACACACTCTAAAATCAACTACAAAACTGAACATTAGACAATCCTCAGCAAATTAAAAAAAAACTGCAGTGATACAAACCACCCTCACAGACTACATTGTAATAAAATAAAAATCAATACTAAGAAAATCTCTCAGAATCATACAATCACATGGGAATTAAACAACCTAATCCTGAATGACTTTTGGGTGAACAGTGAAATTAGGGCAGAAATCAAGAAATTATTTGGAACTAATGAGAACAAGGATACAATATACCAGAATCTCTGGGACACAGCTAAAGTAGTGTTAAGAAAGAAATATAGCACTAATACCTACTTCAAAAGTTAGAAAAACCTCAAAATAACAACCTAACATTACACCTAGAGGAATGAGAAAAACAACAGCAAAGAAACCCCAAAGCCAACAGAAAACAAATATCCAAAATCAGAGCTGAAGTAAAGAAAATTGAGTCATGAAAAATCATACTAAAGATTGAGTCCATGAGTTTGTTTTCAGAAAGAATAAATAAGGTAGATTGCTAGCTAGACAAAAAAAGAGAGAAAATCCCAATAAACACGATCAGAAACACAGTAGAAATACAGAAAGCCTCCGTGACTACTATGAACACCTCTATGCACATAAGCTAGAAAACCTAGAAGAAATGGATAAATTCCTGGGAATATATAGCCTCCAAAGACTGAGACAGAAAGAAACTGAATCACTGAATAGACCGATATTGACTTTCAAAATTGAATCAGTAATAAAAAGCCTACCAACAAAGGACCAAACAGAAACAGCCAAATTCTACCAGACGTATAAATAAGAGTTGGTGCAATTTCTACTGAAACTATTACAAAAAATTGGGGAGGAGGGACTCCTTCCTAACTCATTCTAGGAGGCCAGCATCATCCTGATACTAAAACCTGGCAGAGACACAGCAAATGAAACCACCCTTCAGGCCAATATCCTTGATTAACATAGATTCACAAGTCTTCAACAAAATACTAGCAAACCAAATCCAGCGGCATATTAAAAAGGTAATCCATCACAATCAAGTAGGCTTTATCCCTGGGTTGCAGTGGTGGTTCAACATATGCAAATCAATAAATATAATTTATCTTATAAACAGAGCTAGAAATAAAAACCACATGATCCTCTGAATAGAGGCAGCAAACACTTTCGGTAAAATTCTACCTCCCTTGATGTTAAAAACTTAACAAACATTGCATAAAAGGAGCATACATAAAAATAATAAGAGCCATCTATAACAAACACACAGCCAGTATTATACTAATTAGACAAAAGCTGGAAGCTTTCCCCATTACATTGTAGGCACACTTGCAGGCAGAACTTGTGTGCCCTCTCCCACCACCACATGTGTGCACTGAAAAAAAACAAGGATGCTCACTCTTACCACTTCTGTTCAACATAACACTGGAAGTCCTAGACCCAAAAATCAGGCAAGAGAAAGAAATAAAAAGCATCCAGATAGGAAAAGAGGAAGACAAACTCATTCTCTTCACAGACAATATGATTCTATACCTAGAAAAGCCCGTAGTCTCTGCCCAAAGGCTCCTAGACCTGATAAACAACTTAAGGCAAAGTTTCAGGATATAAAATCAGTAGCATTTCTACGCACTAAACCTCCAAGCTGATAGCCAAATCAAGAAAAGAACTCACTGACAATAGACACAAATTCAATGAAATACCTAAGAATACAGCTAACCAGAGAGGTGAAAAATCTCTACAACAGAATTTAAAAACACTGTGGAAAGAAATCAGTGATGATACAAAAGGAAAGATATTCCACACTCATGGGTAGGAAGGATCAATATTGTTAAAACGGCCACACTCCTCAAAGCAATTTAAAGATTCAATGTTATTCCTAGCAAACCACCAATGACATTTTTCACAGAATTAGAAAAAGCTATTTTAAATTTCATATGGAATCAAAAAAGGGCCAGAATAGCCCAAACAATCCTAAGCAAAAAGCACAAAGCTGGAGCGATCCCATTAACCAACTTCAAACAATACTGCAGGGCTACAGTAACCAAAACAATATGATACCGCCACAAAAACAGACACATAGACCAACAACAAAACAAAATGGAGCCCAGAAATAATGCCACACACCTACAACCATCTTCTCTTTGACAAAGTTGACAAAAACAACGGGGAAAGGACTCTCTATTCAATAAATGGTACAGGCATAACTGGCTAGCCATATGCAGAAGTTTGAAACTCGACCCCTTCCTTACACCATATACAAAAATCAACTCAAGATGGATTCAAAAGTTAAATGTAAAAATGAAAACTATAAAAACCTTGGAAGATAACCCAGGAAATACCATTCTGGACTTAAGACCCAGTAACGACTTCATGACAAAGACACTATAAGCATGGCATCAAAAACAAAAATTGATAAGTAGGAACTAACTAAACTGGCATGCTTCTGCACAGTAAGAGAGTAAACAGACAACCTGCACAATGGGAGAAAATATGTGCAAACTATGCCTCCAACAAAGGTATAATATCCAGAATCTATAAGGAACTTCAACAAATTAACAAGCAAAGCACAACCCCATTAAAAAGTAGGCAAAGGACATGAACACTTTTCAAAGAAGACATACACGTGGCCAACAAACATGAAAAAATTCTGAACATCACTGATCATTAGAGAAATGCAAATAAAAGCCACAGTGAGATACCATTTCACACAAGTCAAAATGGCTATTACTAAACAGTCAAAAAATTGCAGATGCAGGCAAGGTTGTATAGGAATGGGAATGCTTATAAACTGCTAGTGGGAATATAAATTAGTTCATCCACTGTGGAAAACAGTTTGGTGATTTCTTAAGGAACTAGGAACAGAGTTACCATGTGATATGGTTTCACTGTGTCCCCACCCAAACCTTATCTTTAATTCCCATGTGTTGTGGGAGAGATCCAGTGGGAAGTAATTGAGTCACGGGGGCAGGTCTTTCCTGTGCTATTCTCGTGATAGTGAATAAGTCTCGAGATCTGATGGTTTTATAAGGAGGAGTTTCCCTGCGCAAGGTCTCTCTCATCTCTGCCTGCTGCCATCTATGTAAGATGTGACTTGCTCCTCCTTGCCTTCTGCCATGATTGTGAAGCCTCCCAAAACACGTGGAGCTGTAAGTCCTTTCAACCTCTTCTTTTGAAAATTGCCCAGTCTCAGGTATGTCTTTATCAGCAGCATGAAAACAGACTAATACACCATTCGACCCAGCAATTCCATTATTGGGTATGCAACCAAAGGAATATAAGTCATTCTACCATAAAGGCACACGCACTATTCACAATAGATAGCAAAGCATGGAATAAACCTAAGTGCCCATCAAGGGTAGACTGGATAAAGAAAATGTGGTACATACCCACCATGGGATACTGCACAGCCATAAAAAGAAATGACATTATGTCCTTTGCAGCAACACAGATGGAACTGCAGGCCATTATGCTAAGCGAACTAACACAGAAATGGAAAATCAAATACTGCAAATACTGTATGTTGTCACTTAAGAATGAGTGCTAAATATTGAGCACACATGGCCACAAAGAAGAGAACAATGGATACTGGGCCCTACTTAAGGGTGGAGGGTCAGAAGAGGGTGAGGATTGAAAAACTACCTTTTGGGTACTGTGTTTATTACCTGGGTGATGAAATAATGTGTACACCAAACCCCCACAACTTGCAATTTGCCTATATAATAAACCTGCACACGTACCCCAAACTTTTTTTTCCCCAAACTTAAAGGTTAACAAATAAAATAATAACCTATAAAAGTAAAATACAAATACATGGAAATTAAACAACATGCTCTTGTGTCAGTGAAGAAACTAAACAGAATTGAAAGAATATTTTGGGACAAACAGAAATGAAAACACAACATTCTTATGGAAAACAGTTATGGACTTGTATAATAATATATACCAAGATTTAAAAAAGAAAGAAATATCACAACCCAATGTTGCTTCTCAAGAAACTATAAAAGCAAGAACAAGCTAAACCCAATATTACTCGAAAGAAAAATTTATACAAATCAAAGCATAAATAAATGAAGTAGAGACTAAAAAAGCAATACCAAAGATCAACTTAAAAAAGAGTTCGTTTTTAAAAAGATAAACAAAATTGACAAACTTTAGCTAGTCTAAGAAAAAACAGAAGAACCAAATAAATCAGAGATGAAACGGGAGGTATTACAACTAACACCACAGAAATACAAAGGGTCATAAAAGACTATTATGAACAACTGTACACCAACAAATTAGGAAACTTAGAAGATCAGATGAATCGCCGGACACACACAACCCACCACAGTTATGAAGAAATAGAAAGTGTGATCCAACCAATAATGAGTAACAAGATTGAAACAGTAAATATGAATGTTTTCTAGAAAAACTCAGGACCTGATGTCTTCAATGCTGAATTCTGTGGAACATTTAAAGAACTATTTCCAATTATTTTCAAACTACAGTTAACCCTTGAACAACATGGGTTGGGACTGTGTAGGTCCACTTATATGTGGGTTTTTAAAACCAAACTCAAATAAATACAGTATTTGTGGGATGTGAAATCTATATATATGGAGGGCCAACTTTTTGTATATGCAGCTCCTGCAGGGCTGACTGCAGTACTTGGGTATGTACAAATTTTATTATATGCAAGAGTTCAAAAACCAATCCTTTGTATATACAAGGGGACAGTTGTATTTCAAAAAAGTTAAAGAGAAGTGAATAGTCCCAAAGTCATTCTATAAGTCTGACATTGCCTTGATACTAGAACCAGATAAGAACATAACAAAAAAAGATAACTACAGGCCAATATCTCTGATGAATATAGATATAAAAATCATCAACAAAATACTAGTACACTGAATCCAACAGCACACTAAAAGGTCATTCACCATTATCAAGTGGGATTCCTCCCAGAGATGCAAGGATGTTTCAACATATGCAAGGCAATAAATGATATCACATTAACAGAGTCAACTCAAAAGGCATATGATCATTTCAATAGATACAGAAAAAAACATTTGATGAAATATAACATCCCTTCATGATAAAAACTGTCAACAAACTAGGTGTAGAATAAACATACCTCAACACAGTAAAGGTCATATAAGACAAATTATTACAAATCCATATATGACAAGACAAGGATGCTCACATTCTTTTTTTTTTTAACTTTTATTTCAAGTTCTGGGTTACTTGTGCAGGATGGGCAGATTTGTTACATAGGTAAATGTGTGCCATGGTGATTTGCTGCATAGATCAACCCATCATCTAGGTATTAAGCCCAGCATGCATCAGCTGTTCTTCTTGATGGTCTTCCTCTTCTTACCCCTGTGACAGGTCCCAGTGTGTGTTGATCCCCACCATGTGTCTATGTGTTCTCATTGTTAAGCTTCCATATGTAAGTGAGAACATGCAGTGTTAGCTTTTGTGTTCCTGCATTAGCTTGCTAAGGATAATGGCTTCCAGCTCCATTCATGTCCTTGCAAAGAACAGGATCTGTTTCCTTCTCATGGCTACATAGTATTCAATGGCATGTATGTATGTACCACATTTTCTTTATCCAGTCTATCATTGATGGGCATTTGGTTTGATTCCATGTCTTTATGACTGTAAATAGTGCTGCAATGAACATACGCATGCATGTATCTTTATAACAGAATGATTTATATTCCTTTGGGTATATACCCAGTAATGGGATTGCTAGGTCAAATGGTATTTCTGCCTCTAGATCTTTGAGGAATCACCACATTGTCTTCCACAATGGTTGAACTAATTTATGTTCCCACCAATAGTGTAAAATGTTCCTTTTTCTCCTCAACCTTACCAGCATTTGTTGTTTCTTGACTTTTTAATAATTGCCCTTCCGATTGTCATGAGATGGTATCTCATTGTGGTTTGGATTTGCATTTCTCTAATAATCAGTGATGTTGAGGTTTTTTTCATATGTTTGTTGGCTGCATAAATATATTCTTTTGAGAAGTGTCTGTTCATGCCCTTTGCCCACTTTTTAATAGGGTTGTTTGTTTTTTTCTTGTAAATTTAAGTTACATGTAGTTGCTTGACACTAAACCTTTGTCAGATGAATAGGTTGTAAAAATTTTCTCCTATTCTGTAGGTTGTCTGTTCATTCTGATAATAGACTATTTTTCTGTACAGAAGCCCTTTAGTTTAATTAGATCCCATTGTCAATTTTTGCTTTTGTTGCAATTGCCTTTGGTGTTTTCAGCATGAAATCTTTGCTCATGCCTATGTCCTGAATGGTATTGCCTAGATTTTCTTCTGGGTTTTTATAGTGTTGGGTTTCACATTTAAGTCTTTAATCTATCTTGAGTTGATTTTTGTGTAAGGTGTAAGGAAGGGGTCCAGTTTCAATTCTCTGCACATGGCTAGTCAGTTCTTCCAGCACCGTTTATTAAATAGGGAATCCATTTTGCATTTCTTGTTTTTGTCAGGTTTGTTGAAGGTCAGATTGTTGTAGGTATAGGGTCTTATTTCTGAGTTCTCTATTCTGTTCCATTAGTCTGTGTGTCTGTTTTTGTACCAGTATCATGCTGTTTTGGTTACTGTAGTCCAGTAGTATAGTTTGAAGTTGAGTAACGTGATGCCTCCAGCTTTGTTCTTTTTGCTTAGGATTGTCTTGGCTATATGAGGATGCCCACTTTCATCATTTTTATTCAACATAGTACTGTTGGTCTTACCCAGAACAATTAGGCAAGAAAAAGAAATAAAGGGCATCCAAATTGGAAAGGATGAACTCAAATTGTCCCTCTTTACAGATGACATGATCTTGTATATAGAAAACCCTAAAGATTCCACCAAAAATTGCTAGAATTAATAAGCAAATTCAGTAATTTGCAGAATACAAAATCAACATGCAAAAAGAAGCATTTTAATAGCAAAATGCCTGAAAAAGAAATTAAACAATTCCAATTACAATAATTACCAAAAAAAAAAATGAAGTACCGAAGAATAATTTTAACCAAAGGGATGAAAGATCTCTACAATGACAACTGTAAAACATTGATGAAAAAAATTGAAGAGGACACAAATAAATGGAAAGATATCATGTGTTCATGGATTGGAATCATTAACATCGTTGAAATGTTCATACTATCCAAAGAGATCTGTAGATTCAGTGCAGTCCATACTAAAATACCAATGACGTTCTTCACAGAAACAGAAATGACAACCCTAAAATTTACATGGAACCACAAATGAATGAGCCAGAATAGCTAAAGCAATTCTGAGCAAAAAGAACAAAGTTGGAGACATCACATTACCTGTCTTCAAAATTGACTAGAAAGCTATAGTGACTGAAACAGCATAGTGTTGGCATAAAAATAGACACATAGACCAATGCAACAAATGCATCTGACACACAGCCAACAAATTTTTGCAATAGGTGACAAGAACACACATTAGTGAAAGAACAATCTCTTCAATAAATGATGCTAGGTAAACTGCATATTCACATGCAGAGAATGAAGCTAGACCTCTACCTCGACATATATACAAAAAAATTTTCCAAATTAACTACTTAAGTGTACAACCAAAATTATAAAATCACAAGGATAAAATTTCATGGGTAAAAGCTCCATGACATTGGCGTAGGCAAGGATTTTTTTTTTTTTTTTTTTTTTATAAAACCTCAAAAGCGGCTGGGCGCAGTGGCTCACGCCTGTAATCCCAGCACTTTGCGAGGCCAAGGTGGGAGGATCATAAGGTCAGGAGATCAAGACCATCCTGGCTAACACGGTGAAACCCCGTCTCTACTAAAAACACCACAAATCAGCTGGGCGTGGTGGCGGGCGCCTGTAGTCCCAGCTACTCGGGAGGCTGAGGCAAGAGAATGGCGTGAACCCGGGAGGCGGAGCTTGCAGTGAGCCGAGATCGAGCCACTCCAGCCTAGGGGAGAGACGAGACTCCGTCTCAAAAAAAAAAAAAAAAAAAAAAAAAAAAAAAAAAAAAAAAACCTCAAAAGCACAGACAATACAAAAAGCAAATATAGGCAAATGGGATTGCATCAATCACATCAATCTAAAAAGCTTCTCTACAACAAATGAAACAATCAACAGAGCAAAGGGACAACCTAGAGAATGGGAGAAAATATTTGCAAGGTGTGCATCAGACAATGGGTTAACATCCAGAATATTTAAGGAACTCACACAACTCAGTAGCAGAAAAATTATCTAATCAAAAAATGGACAAAAGTCCTCATTAGGTATTTTTGTCAAAAAAAGACATATAAGTGGCCAAGCAGTATATGAAAAATGCTCAACCTCACTAATCATCATGGAAATATACATCAAAACCACAATGAGTCATCACCTCACCTTAATTAGAATGACTTATCAAAAAGATGAAAAATAACAAGTGCTGACATGGGTGTGGAGAAAGGGAAATATTTATACACTCTTATTGTGAATGTAGATTAGTATAGCTATTATGAAAAATAGTGTGAAGGTTCCTCAAAAAATTAAAAATAGAGCTCCAATATGATCTAGCAATTCCACTCTTGGGTGTATATCCAAAGAAAATAAAATCAGTATTTCCAGGAGATACCTACACTCTCATGTTTATTGCAGAACTCTTCACAGTAACCAAGAAATGGCAACAACCTATGTGTCCACCAATGGATGAATGAAATAAAGAAAATGTGGTATTATATACACAATGAACTACTGTTAAGCCATAAAAAAGGTATATCCTGTCTTTTGCAGCAATGTGAATGATCTTGGAAGACATTATTTTTAAGTGAAATAAGCCAGGCACAGAAAGACAAATACTACATTTTCTCACTCATGTGAAATGTAAAGATATTGATCTCATATATTAGAGAATAGAATAGTAGTTACCAGAGGCTGAGGAGGGTAGGAGAGAGGGAAGATAAGAAGAGATTGGTCAATAGGTACAAAGTTACTGTTCAATTTAGAGTGACAATTGTGATTAACAATATTGTATTACATATATCCAAATAGCTAATAGGATTTTGGATATTCTCATCACAAAGAAATGATAAATGTATGAGCTGATGGGTATGCTAAATAATTTATTACAGAATTTGTACATGTATTGAAATGTCATTCTACCCCAAATTTTTAATGATTATATGTCAGCTAATTTTAAAAAAATTGCCACACTAATCTATATGGACATGTAAATCCAGTATAAGCATGGGAGTTTTAATGTAAGCAATTCAATTTAATTTTAAAGGATGTAGTTTTAATATGTGAGATTTCTTCTATAGTATCTGTGTTATTGAAAAGCATTTGTTATGCAAAAGTACACACTAAGCATAGGGGTTTACTGGGAAAATAGAGTAAGAGGGAAGCCACTCAAAACCTCAGGAACACTGTAACCCAAACTCTAAGAAAAACAATGCTAACCCTGTGTCAGAAATTTAGAATTTAAAAACATTTCTAAAATACATCTTAGTAAACCATTAATGAAGTTGCATCTCCACTGTATTTTATACCTAGTGTCACAGGCCCTTCATCTTTTTCAACCTTACACTCTCAGGCTCACTCTTCTTTCTTCAAGATATAGGTCCTTGAGTATATTTGTTTCTACTCGTAACCAGTTGTATCGAAATTAACACTATGCTCTGGGTTTAGTAGTCTACATCACTTTACAAAAGAAAAAAAAAAGACACTGGAGAAATCTCTTTGTCGGTCCTTCTTCAAATAGTTTAACATTGCTGAAAGTGTAGTGATTCTTGAAGTCACTAAATCAACCACTTTTTAATCTGGAGGACATTTTTCCGGGATTTTCAAGTGTGTTTTTCTTAAGGTCTTCACATATGCCTAAAGTTTTCCCATTAATTATGAAAGCCTTGTGAAAGTTATTTTGCTCCAGTCACATCAAAATATTAACCTACTAGGAAATAAGGCTAGTGATTCAAAATGGCTTTAACATTAAACTACTATCATTCCTTTGTTTACCTAATGTGGATAAGCTAATCGGCATTGTTAAAACATCCATTGTAGCAAAACAGACTATGTATATAAAACTGTCATTCTGAGGCCTCAGCCTATAAGCAGGGAATGTTTTGCTATTTATCTTATCAAATCCTTAGTCCAACATTTACTTGGGCTGGTTGTAAATTTTTCCAGATCTCATTTTTTTATCTGAAAGTTGAGTGTAATAATTTTCATCACAGAGGATTGTTGAGAGCAAGATGAAGTAATATAATGCATATAAAGTATTTAGCACAGTGTCTCACACATAGAAACCCACAATAAATGGGAACTTAATATTTAAGAGGCTTGCTTTCCAGTATGTTAGATTATAGCTCTGTTACCCACTAGATCTGTGACCTAGGTCAATTTATTTCATTCTGAATTTGAGGATTTAAAAATACCTAATGTAAATGACGAGTTAATGGGTGCAGCACACCAACATGGCACATGTATACATATGTAACAAACCTGCACGTTGTGCACATGTACCCTAAAACTTAAAGTATAATAAAAAAATAATAAAAATCCTTGTTGAAAACTGGAGATTTTAGATAATATAGCAACTCTTCATGCTGATCTATCCCTCTTTTGGAGTGCATTGTGTTTGTTTACTTGTTCATTTGTTTGGTGATTCGGCTAGATTGATTCAGTGAAGTTTATTTTTTCTGCAATATTCACCTTGGGATGTTTTAAATCCAAAGACGTGGCAGCCTTGGGTTTATATACAGTCTTCCTGACCACCAGTGATGATGGTGCTTTCAGCTGGGTTTTCTTGTACTTTCTCTTTTCGTGATCTTCCTATTAAGCATCTGACTAGTTTCCTCTCTTGTTATCACACTCGGGTCTCATCTCTATTTATTGTGAGCCAATTGCTTTTGATTATTTTAACCTGTTTAATATAGATGACTCTCATGGGAAAACCAGAAAGAGGGTAGAGAAAAAGGAACAAAATGATATTCAAAAATGTTGAATATTTTTTCATATACCTGTTGCCCATTTATGTGTCTTCTTTTGAGAAATGTCAATTCGGGTCTTTTGCTCAATTTATTTGTAATTTGTACATTTTGTGGGTACACAGCAGATATATACATTTCTGGGGTACATGAGAGATTTTGACACAGGCATGCAATGCATAATATTGACATCATGGAGAGTAGGGTATCCATCCCCTGAAGCATTTATCTTCTGTGTTAAAAAACAATCCAACTATACCCCTTTAGTTATTTTTAAATGTACAACGAAGACCTACTATTTGATAGCAAAATAGGGTCACATTTGCTCACTTTAAATTTTTTTAAAATTTTTGTTGGTACATAGTAGGTATACATATTTATGGGGCACATGAGATGTTTTGAAACAGGCCTGCAATGTGAAATAATCACATCATGCAGAATGGGGTATCGATGCCCCCAAGCATTTATCCTTTGTGTTACAAACAATCCAATCACACTCCTTTAGTTATGTTAAAATGTACAATTAAGTTATTATTGACCATAGTCACCCTGTTGTACAATCAAATAGTATGTCTTATTCATTCTTTATAACTGTATTTTTGGATCCATTAACCATCCTCACTTCCCTCCAAACCCCCCACTACCTTTCCCAGCCTCTGGTAACCATCCTTCTACTCTCTGTGTCCATGAGTTTAATTATTTTGATTTTTAGATCCCACAAATAAGTGACAACATAGGATGTTTGTCTTTCTGTGCCTGGCTTATTTCACTTAATGGTCTCCAGTACAGTCCATGTTGTTGCAAATAACAGGCTGTTGTTGTTGAGTCATTTGAATTATTTACATATTTTGGATATTAACCCCTTATCAGATATATAGTTTGCAAATATATTCTCCCATTCTGTAGGTTGTCTCTTTGCTCTGTTCATTGTTTCCTTTGCTGTGCAGAAACTTTGTAGTTTGCTGTAATTCCATTTGTCTGTATTTGCTTTTGTTGCCTGTGCTTGTTTAGTTTTATCGAAAAAAAAATCTTTGCCTAGTCTAATGTCATAGAGTTTTACCCTGTGTTTTATTCTAGTAGTTCCATAGTTTGAGTCTTCTGTTTAAGTCTTTAATCCATTTTGAGTTATTTTTCTCTATATGGTGAGAGATATGGGTATAATTTCATTCTTCTCTATGTGAATATCTATTTTTCTCAGCACCATTTATTGAGAACACATTCCTTTCTCCATTCTGTGTACTTAGCACTTTGTCAAAAATCAGTTGGTTGTACATGTGTAGATTTCTCTATTCTCTATTCTGTTCCTTTGGTCTATGCGTCTGTTTTTATGTCACTGCCATGCTGTTTTAGTTACTATGGCTTTGTAGCATGTTTTGAATTCAGGCTGTTTGATACCTCCAGCTTTGGTGTTTATTCAAGATTGTTTTGGCTATTCAAGGTAGTTTGTGGTTACATACTTTTTTTGTCTGTTTCTGTGCAGAATGTCATCAGTATTTTGATAGAAAAATGTAACCAAAAACTGCAATGAGGTATTATGTCAGTGAAGGTAGAATGGCTACTATCACAAAATCAAAGTACAACAAGTGTTGGGGATGTGGAGAAAAGGAAACACTTACACACTGCTGGTGGGAATGTAATTTAGTACAGGCATTATGGAAAACAGTATGAAGGATTTTCAAAACATTATAAGTAGAACTACCATATGACCCAGAAATCCCACTACAGCATATATACCCAATAGAAATGAAATCAGCATGGCAAAGAGATATATGCACACCTATGTTTACTGCGTCACTGTTCACAATAGCCAAGAGATAGAATCAACCTTATTGTCAACAGATAAATGAATAAGAAAATGTGGTATATATGTATCACGGAATACTATTAAGCCATAAAATAGCATGAGATCCTGTTATTTGCAGCAGCATGGATAAACCTAGAGGACATCATGGTAAGTGAAAAAAAGCCAGGCACAGAAAACAAGTACTGCATGGTCTCACTTATATGTGGAATATAAAAAATGTTCTCATATAAGTAAAGAGGAGAATAGTGGAGACCAGAGGCTGGGAAGAGGAGCAGGAGGGGGAGGGCATGAGATTGGTCAGCAGGTACAAAGGCACAGTTGGAAAGAAGAAATAAATTCTAATGTTCTCCGCATAGTAAGATGACTGGAGTTAACAACAATGTATTACATATTTCAAAATGGCTAGTAGATGGGTTTTAAATGTTCTCATCACAAAGAAATGATACCTTTTAAGGTGATTGATACTGTAATTACCTTGAATTGATCTTACAAAATATATACATGTGTCAAAAAATCACATTATACCTTGCAAATATGTACAATTATTATGTGTCAATCATAAATAAAAATGAATGAAAACACAAAAATAAAAATATTCGAAGATACTGGTTTAAACTTCCCACAGCTGATTAAAAACATTATTCCAAACATCTAAGAAGATCCATAAACTCCAGGTATAGTAAACCAAAGGACTTTAGCACCTGGCCACATAATAGTCAGAATCTTGAAAATTTTGAAAGTAGCAAAACAAAAGTGCACATCAGGTACAAGCTTACAGCCAAAACATTAACTGGCTTCTCATTAGTAACAATTGAGTCTAGAATATAGTGAGATACTCAAAGGAAAATGAATCATTCTCCCAAAAAGACACATGAACTCGTATGTTCACTGCAGCACTATTCACGATAACAAAGACATGGAATCAACCTAGAAGGCTATCAATGGTGCATTAGATTTTTTTTAAAAATGTGGTACACATTAACCTTCAAAAATAATTTATGACTAAGTCCCCAAAAGCAATTGCAACTAAAACAAAAATGGACAAGTAGAACCTAATTAAACTAAAGAACTTTGCCACAGCAAAAGAAATTATCAGCAGAGTGAAAGATAACCTACAGAATGGGAGAAAATATTCACAAACTACATATCCAGCAAAGATCTAATATCTGGTATCTATAAGTAAGTTAAACAATTCAACAAAGAAAAAACAACCCCGTTAAGAATAGGCAAAGTACATGAACAGACACTTCTCAAACGAAGACGTATGTGCAGGCAACAAACACATGAAAAAATGCTCACCATCACTAATCATTAGAGAACTGAAAATCAAAACCACAATGACATACCATCTCACACCAGTCAGAATGACTGTCATTAAAAGGTCAAAAAACAACAGATGAAGGTGAGGTTGCAGAAAAAAAGGAAATGCTGATGCACTTCTGGTGGGGATGGAAATTAGTTCAGCCACTGTGGAAAGCAGTATGAAGGTCTCTGAAAAAACTTAAAACATAGCTACCATTCAACTCAGCAATCCCACCACTGGGTATATATCTAAAGGAATATAAATTCTCCCAAAAAGACACATGCCCTTGCATGCTTATCACAGCCCTATTCACAATAGCAAGGACCTGGAATCAACCAAGATTCCCATCAATGGTGGACTGGTTTAAAAAAACTGTGGGACAGCCAGGCACGGTGGCTCACGCCTATAATCCCAGCACTTTGGGAGGCTGAGGCAGGCGGATCATGAGGTCAGGAGTTCGAGAACAGCCTGGCCAATATGGTGAAACCCGCCTCTACTAAAACTACAAAAAAAAAAAAAAAAATTAGCTGGGCGTGGTGGCACACACCTGTAGTCCCAGCTACTCAGGAGGATAAGGCAGAAGAACCGCTTGAACCTGGGAGACGAAGGTTGCAGTGAGCTGAGATCGTGCCACTGCACTCCAGCCTGGGTGACAGAGTGAGACTCCGTCAAAAAACAGCAACAACAACAACAAAAAAACAAAAAACTGTGGGACATATACTCCATGGAATACTACACAACCGTTAGAATCATGTCCTTTGCAGCAACATAGATGCAGCTGAAGGTTATTATCCTAAGCAAACTAATACAGGAACAGAAAACCAAGCGCTACATGTTCTCACTTAGAATTGGGAGCTAAATACTGAATACACTTGGATACAAAGTTGGGAACAATAGACACTGGAGACTGCTTGAAGTGGGGAGACTGGGGGTAGGGAGCATGGTTTGGAAGGCTACCTATCAGGCACTATGCTCACTATATGAGTGACAGGATTATTTATACACCCAGTCTCGGTGACACTCAAGTTATCCAGGTAAGTAATCTGCACATGTACCCCCAGAAATTGAAATAAAAGTAGAAGAAAATGTAAATCAAAATATTTTTTTCAAAGATACCAATTAATGTCTAATACTAAATAAACTATTACATGGTTGCTTTCACAGGAAAAAAATGTGGTACATATATACCATGGGATACTATGCAGCCATGAAAAAGAATGAGATTATGTCCTTTGCGGCAACATGGATGCAGCTGGAAGCCATAATTGTAGATGAATTAACTCAGGAACAGAGAACCAAATGCCACATGTTCTCACTTATACATGGGAGCTAAACTTTGAGTACATGTGGCCATAAAGATGGAAACAATAGACACTGTGAACTGCTAGAGAGAGGAGGGAAGGAGGGAAATAATGTCTGAAAAACTACTGGGTACTATGCTCACTACCTGAGATCTGTACCCCAAACCTTAGCATCACAAAGTATATCTATGTAACAAACCTATATGTTTACCTCCTGAATTTAAAATAAAATTTGAAATTATAAAACAGAACAAAATAGAATTATATATCCAGCAAAACTAACTTTCAAAAGTAAAGTGTAAATAAATGTAAAATGAAGGCTAAATAGCAAGTAAACAAAACAGAGAATTTATTGTTATCAGACATGCCTTACAAGAAATACTAAAGCAGTTTCTTTAGAATAAAGACAAGTGACATCAGACAGTAATTTGAATCCACACAAAAAAAGAGTATAACTATATAAGTAAATATAAAAGATACTATGGATGCATATGCCTACTTCTTTTAACTTACTGAAAAGCAAATGCATAACATGACATATCTTTGTATCTTTATGTGTATTATTAGGTTTTGACATACATTAATTGAAATATAATATATGTGGCACTGAAAGTACAAAAGAGGTAGGTGAGAAAAAAAAATTGTTGAAGTAGAGAAATGCTAACTGATGGATACTTGAGCCAACAGAGGAAAAAAATGAAAAAGGAAGATATCCAGAAATGGTAAATAAGAATATTAATATAGTAAACTCTAAAAATATATACGTACTGTGCATTGTTGTGTCAGCATCTTTAACAGACATAGGTTATATAAGGTAGCAATTATAACAATAAGTTTGTCAGGTTTGTTACATGTTCTGATGTAATATGTATAACAATATCACAATATAGGGGGTAGAAAATAGAGCTATATGAAGGTAAAGTTTCTATATCTCACTGGAATTATGTGAACATAGTTTTAATTATATTTAGGGATTAACATGCATATTTCAAGCTATAGAATAGTCAGTAAGAAACAACGTATACAGTTAAAAGTCTTGAATTAAAATGTTATAATAGAAAATATTCATTTATCAAAAAGAAACAGTGAAGAAGGGACAGAGAAACAAAACAGACATAACCCATATAGATATTTTAAATTTCACTCAGCAATGGTTTGCCATTTTAAGGATATAAGCCTTGCAGTGAATTTGTTAAATCTACCCCTGAGTATTTTTATTGTTGGTGCTATTGCAAATGGATTTCTTAGTTTCATTTTCAGGTTAATAATTAAATTTAAAAGATTGAAATAAATAGAAATTCACATATTAAAAGATGTTAACATGTCAACACTCCACGTGTTAATCTATAGATTTGATGTATTCTGTACCATAACCCCAGTTGACTTTTTTTTTTTTGGAGAAATTAACAAACTGATCCTGAAACTCATATGGAGGTACAAAGTGCCAAGAATAGCCAAAACAATCTTGAAAGGGAAGAATATAGTTGGAGGCCTCACAGTTCCTGGATTTAAAACTTACTAGGAAGTTACAGTAATCGCCGGGCATGGTGGCTCACGCCTGTAATCCCAGCACTTTGGGAGGCCGAGGTGGGCGGATCATGAGGTCAGGAGTTTAAGACCAGCTTGGCCAACATGGTGAAACCCCATCTCTACTAAAAATACAAAAATGAGCTGGGCGTGGTGGCGCAAGCCTGTAGTCCCAGCTACTTGGGAGGCTGAGGCAGGAGAATCGGTTGAACTTGGGAGGTGGAAGTTGCAGTGAGCTGACATCGTGCCACTGCACTCCAGCCTGGCGACAGAGCGATACTCTGTCTCAAATAAAAAAAAAAAGTAATCACAGAGTGTGGTAGTGGCAGAAGGATAGTCGTATAAATGATGGAGTAGAATTTATAGTCTAGAAATAAACCTTTACATTTATGTTAAGTTGATTTTCAACAAATGTTCCAAGACAATGGGGAAAATAACCTTTTCAACAAACGGTGCTGAAAAAACTGACAATCCACATGAAAAGGAATAAAATTAGATTTCTACCTCACTCTGTATGCAAAACTTCAAATAAATAATAGATCTAAATGTAAGAGTTAAACTTCAACACATAGAGTGAAACACAAAACTAAGTTTATGTGACTTTAGTTAGGCAAAGTTTCCTTATATACAATAAGAAAAGTCTGAGTGACAAAAAAATAAATAAATAAATTGGACTTCATTAGAATTTAAAACTTTTCTACTGCAAATAGGAAATCAGGAAAGTGAAAGACTACCCACAAAATGAGAAAAATATTTGCAAAATATGTATCTGATAAGGGGATATATATTATCTGATAAGGGGATATATGTTATTTATATATTATCTATTCTTAATATATAAATAACTCATGAGTCAATAATAAAAAGAAAAACCACCTAATTAAAAAGGAGTCATGGATTTTAAAAGGAATTTCTCCAAAATAAACTGCTTCAATAAGTACATGAAAAGATGCCCAACATCATTTGTAATAAAAAAAAATTGCAAACCAAAACCTCAGTGAAATACCACTTCATACTCTCACTAGGATAGCTCTAATAAAAGGCAGACAAAAACAACTGTTGGGGAGAATGTGGAAAAATATGTACCCTTATACATTACAGATGCTAATATAAAATAGTGCAGTTGCTTTGAAAAATAGTTTGGTGGTCCCTCAAATGTTAAACACTGAGTTAAGAGCATTATCCAGAAATTTCACTCACAAGTATATATGCAAGAGAAATGAAAACATATTCACACAAAACATTTGCAGTAATCTTCACGGAAACATTGTTCATATCAGTTGGTGTGGAAAAGAACCACCTTATCCATCTGCTGACAAATAGATTGGCTAAATGTGCTACATTCATGCAATGGCATATTATTTGGCAATAAAATAATGAAGTGCTGGTACATACTGGAACATAGATCAATTATGAAAGCATTCTTCTAAGTGAAAGGAGTCACAAAAGACCACGCGTTCTACGATATCATATGAAATGTCCAGTATAGGCAAAGGTATATCGATCGAAAGTACATTAGTTGTTACCTAGTGCTGGAATTGGCGGGGGCTGTGGGGCATGAATATTAATATATAGAGTTTTTTAGGGTGATGAAACTAAAATTAGATATTTGTAATGCTTGACAACTCTGTAATACACTAAAAAACTGTTGAATTATGCATTTTAAATAAATTGATTTTATGATGCACAAATTATATCTTAATAAAGCTATTAAAATTCACCCTGACATTTTATTTACTCTTTTTTACCCTACAACTTCATTTTTTAGGATCAAGGGTATTATGTGTTAAGTTGAATACTTTGGATATGCTAGTCACATGTAGCAATTTATGTTTAAACTAATTAAAATCATATAAAATTAAAATTCAGTTCTTCAGCAATGCTAGTCACATTTTAATCATTAGCCACAATTGTCTAATAGACAACCTTATTGGACAGAGAAGCTGTGGAACATCTTTATCATCACAGCAAGTTCTATTGGACAGAGCTGCTCTGGATGATTTGATTCAATTGGACATAGAGCTTTGCTGCAATCTTTCCACAATTCAATGGTGAATGCTAGGGCCAGTTTTAGAAAACTGCTAAAACTCAGCCTTCCAGTTCGCACATTAAAAAAGGCCTTTCTGCAGTATTTCTACTTTTTCTTTTGCTTTATATATGTTGCTTTTGCTTTCTCTTGAAGTGTGAGAAAGCTCACTTGCTGGCCTGAGTGAAGACAACAATTTACCAGTAAGAAATCCAAAGGTGGGAAAACTGTCTATTATTTTGAAGGGGAAGAATTAAGGTGGATATAGAAAAAGACACTATTAGAAATCAGTTCTGGAAAGAAGGAAAAATAGGTTTGTTATTTTAACCTCTCATTCTTTTTTCTATTTTTTTTTTTTCAGAATGCAGAGGCAATAAGATAGCCTATACCATAGATAAGACACAAAATGGAAAACACATCTAATTTTGATTGTTCTCTCCTTTTCCATAATAATTTTCGTGGCTTTATTACCAACTAGAGAGATCCATATAGGTTTACATGGTCAGAGAGAGAAAATATAATTTCACAGATATATGGATATTTTACTTTTTTGTTACCAAAGTAATAGCAACTTGCTGTAGAAAATTTGGGAAATGCATATAAGCATGGTAAATAAAATAAAGATTACCATCTAATTTCACCTCCATATGGAAAGTCTATTGATGTTTTAATGTTTTCTTCTATATATTGTATATTCTCTTTAGATATATATTTTAAATAATATATTTTGCATGTTGCTTTATAATATTTTTACATTTAAATATTATGATTTTAAGACTGTGCCACTAGCTAGTATTTTTTAAGCCTTTTAAAGTAAACATAGTAATTTCCTTACAACTAAAATAAAATACTTTAGCCAGGAATAATTACATGACTGTGTTTACAAATTACAGTTTTTAAATAAACAATACTCTTTTTTATAAAACACTGTACTTTTTGGAAAATTTTACCTCCAGGATATTCATAGTTTGTAGTGATAAATGGCATAGTGCATAAATGGACTCTTCACAAATGTTCCTTTAGTCATGGCTTGCAATATGTTATTCATTCACAGCTATTTTGTTTTAACAAGCCTTTATTAAATGTATCAACTCTCAAAAGTCAAAATGTATTCTAAATCTTTTTCTTTCCATATTCGGTGCAAAAGGTTGAAAGGACCTTTCAGTTCTAGGTTGTAAATTCAAATGTGATTCTGGTTGATATTTGACAGCTGTTTTACAACCTGCGCTCTGAAAGCCATTGCACTCAATTTACTATCCAATGTTAACATGACGTAAAATATAATCACATTTGACATTGCCGAAGGAAGCCACTTCATAAAATGGATAAGAGACTAAGTTAACATGTGTTTTTTGTGAGAAGATATCTACATATGTGTATATATATATATATATATATATATATATATGATGTGTACACATATAGATATGTACGTGTATGTTTATGTATACTTCCATACATGCATTTAGTTAATAGTTTCCCTGGGTTGTTTTGTTTTCCTGAGGGTGTCATTCAGGGGAATTTGGTGATGTATACATAAGTTGAATGCTTATATCTTCTTTAGATATAGCTTATTTAGAGTGAAAAAAACAGAATTAGTGCTCTTAGATACAGGATGTGTAGGAATTTCATAATTTGGGTAGACTTAATACGCATTTTGAAGCTAAATGACTTTTTAAAATATCCATGTCAAAACTGAATTAGGAATTTGGGTAAATCTCATGTATTCTTATAGCAAAAGTTTGCTCTAGAGCATATATTTTACTATTTTATTTTGTTAAAATATGTCTCAGTATTGCCACGTGTACTACTGGGCATAAAACAAAGGCGTGTTTTCTCTTTTATCCAGGACACTAACCTGGGTGGACAAACGTCTGTCTTGCATTTGTGATTTCATCATCTTGCCATAATAACTAGGAGAGAATAGAGGTCAGTAGCTAAATATACCACTGACTATTTTACTTTAACACATTTCACAAAGACTTTGGCATCAGTATTTCTACTTTATAATTTTTAAAATCGTGTGTAAATTACATAGAACAATTTGTATTATCTAGTCACACCTATATCAGGTCAGAGAGGCATACTTTACCATTTAATAACAAAGGTTCCTCTTTAAATTATATCAGTTCCTTGTGATTTCCATTGCTAAATATGGAAATAGACATTTACAATACTGTACTTCACATTTACTGCCTTAATATTTATAGTTTATCGATATGTAATATTTGTACATATTTATGAGGGAGATGTGATGTTTTATTACATGCATAGAATGTGTAATGTTCACCTTGGTATTTAGAGTGTCCATCATCTCAAGCAAGTATTATTTATCATTTCTATGTGTCGGGGATATTTGAAGTCCTCTCTTTTAGCTATTTTGAAGTATACGGTACGTTGTTCTTAACTATAGTCATCTTCCTCTGATACTGAATATTAGAACTTATTTCTTCTAATCTATATACCTACTGATCACCCTCTCTTTATCTTCCCTTCACCTACACACATTTCCCCTCTTCTTGTATCTATCCTTCAGCTCTATACTGCCATGAGATCGACTTTTAAAACTCCCACATATGAGTGAAAACAGGTGGTATTTGTATTTCTGTGCCTGACTTATTTCACTTAATATAAGGACCTCCAGTTTCATTTATGTTGCTACAAATAACCTGATGTCATTGATTTTTATTGTTGAATAGCTTTCCATTGTCTATATATGCCACGTTTTATTTGACCATTCATCTGTTGATGGACACTGAAGTTGATTCCAGATCTTTGCTATTGTGAACAGTGCTGCAACACACATAGGTGTGCAGGTTATCTCTTTGATATACTGATTTATTTTACTCTGCATAAATACTCAGTGGGATTCCTCGATAAAGTGGTAGTTATATTTTTAGTTTTTTGAGAACTCTTCATACTGTTTCCCATAGTGGATGTACTAATCTATATTCCCACCAACAGTGTATAAGGGTTCCCTTTTCTCCACATTCTAGGTAGCATCTGTTATTTTTTCTTTTCAGTAATAGCCATTCTAACTGGGGTAAGGTGGTATCTCGTTATGGTTTTGATTTGCACTTTCCTGATGATTAGCGATGGTGAACATTTTTTCATGTACCTGTTTTGCATTTGAATGACTTCCTTTGATAAGTGTCTTTGCCCATTTTAGTGGAATTATTTGTTTTTATTTTACTGTTGAGTTTTTTTATTTCCTCGTGCATTTGAGATAATAGTCTCTTATTGAGTAAATATTCTGAAAATATTTTCTTGCATTTAACAGTTTGTCCCTTTATTGTGTTGACTGTCTTCTTTGGTGTGCGGAATCATTTTGGTTTAGTATAGTCTCATTTTTCTTATTTTTGGTTTTGTTACCTGTGCTTTTGAGGTTTTAGCTATAATGTCTTTGCCTAGAGCCATGTCCTGAAGTGTTTCCCTTAAGTTTTCTTCTAGTCATTTTAGAGTTTTGGGTCTTACGTTGAAGTCTTGAGTTGATTTTTGTTTATGGTGGAGATATGGGTCCAGTTTCAATCTTATGCATATGGATATTTTTTTTCAGCAACATTTCTTGAAGAGGGTATCCTGTCCCCAGTGTATGTTCTTGGTGCCTCTGTCAAAAATCCTTTGACTGCAAATATGTGATTTATGGGGTCACTATTTTATGCCATTAGTCCACGCATCTGTTTTTGTATCAATAATATGCTGGGGGAGCATGGCCAAGATGGCTGACAAGAAGTAGCTACAGTGTGTGAGTCTCACAGAGAGGAACTAAAGGGACAAGTAAACAGAGCACCCTCAACTAAAACATCTAAGTACACACATTGGGACTAATCAAGGAAACATCTTGACCCATGGAAAATGGAGAAAAGCAAGGCATAGTGATAGCCCACCCAGGAGCAACACAGAGCCAATGGAATGCCCTGTGCACAGGGAAGCAGTGAGTGAATGTGCGACCCTGATCAACAATGCTTCCCTCATGGATCTTTGCAACCCTCAGGTCAAGAGATCCCCTCATGAATCCACTCCACCAGTGCCTTCAGTCTGACACACACAGCTACTTGGAGTCTCCACAAAGCAACCACAAGGCATACACAGAGAACCAAGAGCATTACATACTCCTCCTCAGGGCTTCCCAGCAAAAGCAACTGCAACTCTGGCAAAGCGAGAGTTACAACTCTGTATATACCCCTACGAAAGAGGCTGAGCAGTCTTGGTCTGTGGGCCGCACTCCCATGGTTCCTCACAGGTTAAGACCCAATGGCTTGAAAATCCAGCCAGCCACTGGCAACAGTGTTTTGCCTACCTGAGACAGAGTTCCTGGAGAGAGGGGCAGGTCACCATATTTGCTCTTTGGACAACTCAGCAATCCCAGCCTACAGGCTTTGAAGAGTCCAAACCAACTGGGAATGGAAGAAATCCCTTAGCACAGCAGAGCTTCTCTGGCAAAACATGGCCAGACTGCTACTTTAAGTGAGTCCCTGATCCATTCCTCCTCACTGGGTGGGATCTCCCAATCAGGAACTCTAGCCACACCCACCAGTGTTCTCTGGCCCACAGAGATTTGAATTCTCCCTGGGATGGAGTTCCCGGGAGGAGGGGGAGGCCACCATCTTTATTTTTGGGAAGACTTAGCTATTTCAGTCTCCAGGCTTTGGACAGCCCAAGCCAACTGGGGATGGAAGTGGTACCCCAGCACAAGACAGCTAAGCATGGCCAGACTGCTTCTTTAAGCGGGCCCCCGATCCTGTTTCTCCAGACTTGATGAGACCTCCCAACCAGGGTCTCCAGCCACGTCCTATAGGTGCATCCAGCCCAGCAGCAGGTCTATAACTCCCTGAGATGGAGCTCCCAGAGGAAGGGGAAAGCTGTCATCTTTGTTGTTTCACAGTCTTCACTGGGGATACCTCCAGTTACAGGAAAATCCAAGGTGACTAGGGTTGTAGTTGATCCCCACCAAACCACAGCAGCCCTAAGAAGTGACCAGACTCTTTAAAGAAAAAACACCCAGCCAAAGGCCAGCAACCTCAAATATTGAAGGTAGATAAGCCCACAAAGATGAGCAAGAATCATTGTAAGAACGCTGAAAACTCAAAAAGCCAGAGCACCCACTTTCCTCCAAATGACTGCATCACCTCTCCAGCAAGGGTTTCAAACTGGGCTGAGGCTGAGATGGATGAAATGACAGCAGGAGAATTCAGAATATGGATAAAAATGAATTTCAATGATCTAAGAAAAAGCATGTTGTAACCCAGTGCAAGGAAGTTAAAAATCATAAGACACTGCAGATGACAGGCAAACTAGCCAGTAGAGAGAAAAATGTAACCAACCTGATAGAGCTAAAAAACACATTAGAAGAATTTTCTAATGCAATCACAAGTATTTATAGCAGAATAGACCAAGCAGAGGAAATAACCTGACAGCATGAAGACTGTCTTTCTGAAGTAAGACATGCAGAGAAGAATTTTAAAAAAGAATGAAGAATGAACAGAGCATACAGGAAATACAGGAATATGTAAAAAGACCGAATCTATGACTGATTGGTGTACCTGAAAAAATGGGGAGCATGAAACCAATTTTGAAAAAAAAAACATATTTCAGGATATCATTCGTGAGAACTTCCCAAACCTAGCTAGAAAGGCCAACATTCAAATATAGGAAATGCAGAAAACCCCAGTAAGATATGAGGAGATCATCCTCAAGACACAAAATCGTCAGATTCTCCAAAGTTAAAAATGAAAGGAAAAATGTTAAGGGCAGCTAGAGAGAAAGGCCAAGTCACCTACTAAGGGAAGCCCATCAGACTAACAGCGAACCTCTCAGCTGAAACCCTACAAGCCAGAAGAGATCAGAGGCCAATATCCAACATTCTGCAAGTAAAGAAATTCCAACCCAGAATTTCATATCTGGCCAAACTGAGCTTCATAAGTGAAAGAAAAATAAGATTTTTTTTTAGTAAAGCAAATTGTAAGGAAATTCGTTACCACCAGACCTGCCTTAAAGGAGCTCCTGAAGGAAGTGCTAAATATGGAAAGAAAATACCTTTACCAATCACTACAAAAACACAATGAAGTACAGAAACCAGTGGAAATATAAAGCAACCACAGAAACAAGTCTGCAAAATAAACAACTAATGTCATAGTCACAGGATCAAATCCACACATATTAATGCTGACCCTTAACTGTAAATAAGTTGAATGTCCTAATTTAAAAACACAAAGTGGCAAGCTGGAAAAAAAAAAAGACCAATTGGTATGCTGTCTTCAAGAGACCCTTCTCACAAGCAGTGACACACATAGGCTCAAAATAAAGGGATGGAGGAAAATCTACCAAGCAAATAGAAACCAGAAAAAAAGGTGGAGGTTGCAATCCTAGTTTCTGACAAAACAGATTTTAAAACAACAAAGATCAAAAAAGACACAGAAGGGCATTATGTAATGGTAAAGGCTTCATTTCAACAAGAAGAGCTAACTATCTTAAATATATATCCACCAAACACAGGTGTATTCAGATTCATAAAGCAAGTTATTAGAGACTTTCAAAGAGACTTAGATTCAAACACAATAATAGTGGGAAATTTTAACACCCCACTGACAATATTAGAAAGATCATCAAGACAGAAAAATAACAAAGATATTCAGGACCTGAGCTCCACACTGGATCAAATAGACCTGATAGATATCCACAGAACTCTTCACCCCAAAACAACAGAATATACATTATTCTCATCCCCACATGGCACTTACTCTAAAATCAATCACCTAATTGGAAGTAAAACACTCTTCAGCAAATGTGAAAGAAATGAAATAATAACAGTCTGTCAGACCACAGTGCAATCAAACTCGAACTCAAGACTAAGAAATTCACTCAAAACCATACAATTACATGAAGATTGAATAACCCGTTCCTGAGTGACTTTTGGGTAAATAATGAAATTAAGGCAGAAATCAAGAAGTTCTTTGAAACTAATGAGAACAATGATACAATGCACCAGAAGCTCTGGGGCATAGCTAAGGCAGTGTTAAGAGGGGAATGTATAGCACTGAATACCCACATCAAAAAGTTAGAAAAATCTCAAGTTAGCAACCTAACATCACAACTAAAAAAGCCTAGAGAACCAAGAGCAAACAAATCTCAAAGCTAGCAGAAGAAAACAAATAATCAAATCAGAGCCAAAATGAAGGAATTGAGACACAAAAAAATTCAAAATATCAATGAATCCAGGAGCTGTGTTTTTGAAAAAACAATAAAATAGACCATTAGATAGACTAATAAAGATGAAAAGAGGGTAGATTCAAATAAACACAATCAGAAACAACAGGGGAGACTTTACCAATGACCCCACAGAAATACAAACAACCATCAGAAAATATCATGAACACTTCTATGCACATAAACTAGAAAATCTAGAAGAAATGGATAAATTCCTGAACACATACATCCTCCCAAGACTTAACCAGGAAGAAACGAGTTCTGAAATCGAAGAAGTAATAAATAGCCTACCAACCAAAAAAAGCCCAAGACCAGATGGATTCACAGCTCAACCTACCAGATGTACAAAGATGTGGTGCCATTCCTACTAAAACTACGTAAAAAAAAAATTGAGGAGGAGGGACTCCTCCCTAACTAATTTTATGAGGACAGCATTATTCTGATACCAAATCCTGGCAGAAATACAGCAAGAAAAGAAAGTGCCAGGCCAATGTTCTTGATGAACATTGACGCAAAAATCCTTGACAAAATACTGGCAAAGTGAATCCGGCAGCAAATCAAAAAGCTTATCTACCATGATCAAGTAGGCTTCATCCCCGGGATGCAAGGTTGGTTCCAAATATGCAAATCAACAAATATGATTCATCGCATAAACAGAACTGAAGACAAGAACCATATGATTATCTCAATAAATCCAGAAAAGGCTTTTGATAAAATTCAATACCCATTCGTGTCAAAAACTCTCAATATACTAGATATTGAAGGAATATTCCTCAAAATTATAAGAGACATACATGACAAACCCACAGCAAACATACTGAATGGGAAAAAGTGGAAGCATTCCCCTTGAAAATCGGCACAAGATAAGGATGCCCCCTCTCACCACTCCTATTCAACATAGTTTTGGAAGTTATACCCAGGACAATAGGGCAAGAGGAAGAAGTAAAGGGAATTCAAATTAGAAGAGAGGAATTCAAACTATCTCTGTTGGCAGATGACATTATTCTATATCTAGAAAACTCCATAGTCTCAGCCCCAAAGCTGCTTAAGTGAAGAAGCAACTTCAGCAAAGTCTCAGGATACCGAATCAGTGTACAAAATTTTCTAGCATTCCTATACACCAACGGCAGTTAAGCCGAGACCGAAATCACAAACCAACTCTTCCTATTCACAATCACCACAAAAAGAAGAAAATATTTAGGAATACAGTTAACTAGGGAGGTGAAAGATCTCTACAAGGAGAACTAGAAAACACTCCTCCAAGAAATCAGAGATGACACAAATGGAAAAACATTCCATGCTTATAAATAGGAAGAATCAATATTGTTAAAATGACAATAATGGCCAAAGTAATATATAGATTCAATGCTATTCCCATTAAACTCTCATTGACATTCTTCACAGAACTAGAAAAAAATTTTTAAATATAATATAGAACCAAAAAAGAAGTCGAATAGCCAAGGCAATCCTATGCAAAAAGAACGAAGCTGGAGGCATCACGCTACTCAACATTAAACTATAATACAGGACTAAAGTAACCAAAACAACATAGTACTGGTACAACAACAGATACTTAGACCAATGGATCAGAATACAGAACATAGAAATAAGACCATACACCTGCAACTATCTGATCTTTGACAAACCTGGCAAAAACAAACCATGGGGAAAGGATTCCCTATGCCATAAATGGTACTGGGATAACTGGGTAGCCATAAGCAGAAGATTGAAACTGGACTCCTTCCTTACACTATATTCAAAAACTAACTCAAGATAGATTAAAGATTTAAAAGTAAAACCTGAAACTATAAAAAATCCTGGAAGACAACCTCAGCAATACCATTCAGGACATATGCATGAGCAAACATTTCATGATGAAGATAACAAAAGCAATTGCAACAAAAGAAAAAATTGACAAGTGGAATCTAGTTAAAGAGCTTCTGCACAGCAAAATAAACTATCAACAGGGTATACAGACAACCTACGGAATGGGAGAAAATTTTTGCAATCTATTCAACTGACAAAGGTCTAATATTTAGCATCTACAAGGAACTTAAATTTACAAGAAAAAAAAACCCCATTAAAAATGGTCAAATGACATGAATAGACACTTCTCAAAAGAAGGCTTACATGCAGCCAACAAACATAAAAAAAACTCAACATTACTGATTATTAGATACATGCAAATCAAAACCACAATGAGATACTATTTCACACCACTCAGAATGGCTATCATTAAAAAGCCAATAAATAATATATGCTGGTGAGGTTGTGGAGAAAAAGGAATGCTTATACACTGTTGATGGGAGTGTAAATTAGTTCATCCATTGCAGAAGGCTGTGTGATGATTCCTAAAAGTCCTAAAGACAGAAATACTATTTAACCCAGCCTTCCCATTGCTGGGTATATGCCCAAAGGAATATAAAATGTTTTATCATAAAGACACATGCACAGGTATGTTTATTGCAGCACTATTCGCAATAGCAGACATGGGGTCAACCTAAATGCCCATCAGTGATAGACTGGATGAAGAGAATGTGGTGCATATATATACACCATAGAAGACTATGCAGCCATACAAAGAACAAGATCATGTTCTTTGCAGGGACATGAATGGAGCTGTATGCCATTATCCTTAGCAAACTAATGCAGGAAGAGAAAACCAAGTACTGCATGTTTTCACTTATAAATGGTAGCTAAATGATGAGAAAACATGGAAACATAGAGGGGAACAACACACACTGAAGCCTATCAAAGGGTGGATGGTGGAAGGTGGGAGAGGATCAGGAAAAATAACTAATGGGTACTAAGCTTAATAACTGGATAATGAAATAATGTACAACAAACACCCATGACACACATTTACCTATGTGACAAACCTGCACATGTACCCCTGAACTTATAAGTTTAAAAATAAAAGGAATTCAAATAAAAAAGTAATAATATGCTGTTTAATTACTAGAGCCTTGTAATATATTTGGACATAGGTAGTTTGATACCTCTAGCTTTGTTCTTTTGGCTCAGGATTGCTTTGGCTATGCAGCCTCTTTTTTCTTCCAGACAAATTTTAGGATTGTTTTCTGTTTTTTAGAAAAGTGACATCGGTATTTTGCTAGAGATTGCACTAAATCTGTAGATTTCTTTCTGCATTATGGTCATTTTAATGACACTAATTCATCTTATTCATGAGCATGGGATATCTTTCCATTTGTTTGTGTTCTCTTCAATTTCATTCATTAGCGATTTGTAGGTTTTTTACTTTTTTAGGAGGCCTTTCATTTCCTTCATTAATTTTATTCTTAGGTATTCTTTGTAGCTCTTGTAGTTGTGATTGCCTTCTGGATGTCTTCTTTAGTTCATTCGTTTTTTAAATATAGGAATGCACTGATTTTTGAATGTTGTTTTTGTATCCTGCAACTTTACTGAATTTGTTTATTAGAACTCATAGTTTTCTTTGTTGTTGTTGTTGTTTATCTCATTCTCTCCTGACCTATAAGATCTCTGCTGAGAAATTTTCTGTTAGTCTGAGTGTTCCTTTATAAGTGACTAGATACTTTTCCCTTGCTGTTTTTGGAATTCTCTTTGACTTTGACTTGTGACAATTTGACTATAATGTGTAGTGTTGAAGTCCTTTTTGCATTGTATTATATGGGGATCTCTGAGATTCTTGTATCTGTGTATCTACATCTCATGCTAAATGTTGGAAGTTTTCAATGATTGTTTTGTTAAATAGGTTTTTTATCCCTTTGTCATTATCTTTGCCTTCTGGGACAGTAAAAATTTGAAAATTATGGTATCCCATATGTCATGTAGGCTTTGTTCATTTTTTAATTATATTTTTTAATTTTTTCTACATTATTTCCAAAGACCTACATTGAAATTCTAAAATTCTTTCTTCTGCTTCATGTAGTCTGTTGCTGAAGCTCTTAAACATATATATATATGTATAATTTTTATTCAATTAATTTTTCAATTCCAGGATTTTTGTTTGGCTCTGTTTTTATGATATCTATCTCATTAGTAATTTTTTAAAATTTCTTTTTATTGTTTATCTGTGTTCCCTTGCATCTCATTGAGCTTCCTTAATATCATTATTTTGAATGATTTTCTAGGCATTTCGTACCTTTCTTATTGGACTCTGTTGCTGGAGAATTATCGTATTTATTTGGTGTTGCATATTTCCTTCCTTTTTATGTTACATTGATATCTGCACATCTGGTATAACAGTTGCTTCTTCCAATTTTTTGAATTTGCTGTTAGGGGAAGACATCTTACAAAAGATATACCTATGGTATTGATTGGTTAGGGCACTTTAGCTTTGACTCTCTGTGTGTGCACTAGTGTAGTTCCCATATAATTTATTTAGCTGTGAATGGCCTCAATGGTTTCTGTGATTTTCTCAGTGGCTTTGTGCGTGGTTTTAAAAAGAGGCTGTGGTGAAGTTTCACCTGGAATCGAGACACCAGGTGTGCCAGTTCTCAGGCTCCATTGGTGGCAGCAGCAGGCCGAGCGCGCCTGTCCTTGGGCTCTTGTTTGGGATATGCTAGCCCTGGTATTAGCAGGTTCAGGCAGCCTGATTCTTCGGCCTGCAGGCAGTTTGCTTGGGTGTCAGCAGTGGCAGTGGTAGGCTGGGTAGGTCCTTCGGTCCATGGGCAGTGGGTATGATAGGTACAATGGCAATAGAAATGATGGACTAACCCTCTGGCTCTCAGGGGATCCATACTGGTGTTAGTAGTGGCTGCATCAAGCTATGCTGGTTAGTCCCTTGACCCACTGGTGGCACATGCAGATAGGTGCCAGATGTGCTTGTAATAGCAGGCTTAGTGGGCTCATCTCCAGGCCCCTGGGCAAGGTGCTCAGGTACTAACTGTGATGGACAAAGTTGGGCAATCCCAGCCCAGATAATGTAATCTGCCACTGGGAAGGGTGGGGTCAAATTGGGCAACTCTGTCTTTAGGCTCCCTGATGGTACATCTGGCCACTGGCCATCGTGGACAGAAATATGGTTGTCCTCAGGACCCCTGTGGAGTGCTCAGGTGGAAATGGCAGGAGTGGTGGTGGTCAGAGGAACCTCTCCTCAAGCATGCAGAAGTACATTATGGCCCTGTTCCCGGAAAGAGCACGGTGCTGTCAGTGGCAGCAGCCATAGCCAGGCAACTGGGCAGTGCACAGTTCAGCACCAGTGACAGCTGTGTGCAGGGGAGCCTGTCCTCAAAGCACATGTAAATGCATGTGAGCTCTACTGCTGAGGTTGACAAGGTTGCTGCCAGTGGCTTACGCTTGGGTTACCTGGAAGCAACAGCCAATAGTGGCAGTGGCTGTGGGTGGGGATCCTGTCCTTAGAGTACATGCAAATGTGCAGTGACCCTGCTGCTGAAGTTGGTGGGGTCACTTCCAGTGGCTTCTGCTTCAGCACCCAGTGGCCACGTCTGGTGATGGCTGTGGCTGCAGGCAAAGTAGCCTGTCTTCAGGGCATGTGCAAATGTTTGGCAGCCTTGATGCTTGTGAGGGTGGTGGGTTTACTGCCAGTGAGGTGTGTTTCAGCACTCACTGGCAGCAACAATTAGCATTGGGGCATGCCTGTGGACAGGAGAGTCTCTCCTTAGGGCGTGTGTAAATTACTGTAAACCCTGCTGCTAGGGGCAGTGGGATCACTGCCAGATGGAGCAGCCAGTAACAGCAGCAGTTGTAAGCCTGGGGAGTCTACACTCTGGGAATATGCAAATGTGTGGCAGCTCCACTGCTGGGCATGTCCGGGACACTGCCACAGGCTCACACTTCAGTTCCAGTGGGAATAGCCAGCAGTAGCAGTAGTTGTGGGCAGGGATATCAAGGCGGCTTCAGAGATGTGGCGATGAAGGGGCTTTTAGACCACAGGACAAGATGCCACCTGATGGGAGCTAGGCTCTCAAAATGGCACTATGTTGTACCTGCTTGCGTCCCGTGGGTATGTGTAGGACTTAGCATGAGCTCCCTGTGTAGAGCAATGCCTTCGCATGATCTCCAGGCAGCTCCCTATGTTCAGGGCCCATGAGGATCAAGGGGCTGGCCTGTGGCTAGGATTGCAGGAGTTTACTATGGGAATATAAACTGCTCAGATCTCTCACCCTTTCCTCGCACTGGGGAGCCTCTTTGAGCTCCTAGACAATCCTGGAGGAGCAGGCTGCCTTGCTTACCTTTCCTTCCTTGCCTTAGATATTTCCCGTCTCTTCTCTGTTGAATTACAATGTTCTTTCTTAGATGATCTATTCGAAGTTTTCCTTGCTATTTCTAGATAAAAGTATATTAGGGAGACATTAGTGTTTCAAACAATGAATTATTTACTGTAGAATAATTTCATTACCCCAAGGTTATTTTGTAAAATGTACTTTTGAGAAGAGATAGTATATTAAATCATAATCATTTAAATACAGTTAATTTCAGGTAACTGACCTATTTGCCTTTATCCCACTGTGCTGAACTATTATCCACAATCACTGAGAACATGGTTATAATTTTTAAAACGGCATAGCTAGTATTTAAGTTCAGTATACACTTGACTTAATATCCTAGAGTTGTTTGATACATAGCGCATCATATTTGTTTATGACTACATTATTATTTTGACATTGGGAGTTACTTAGGCACAAAGGGAGGAATATTTCTACCTTCATTTTATAGTAATATTCTGCAAAGGGATTGTTGTGGAGAGGTGCAGGATGGGTGGAATGATGTTAGCAAATAAATCAAGATGACTTAAAGGATCTATGTTTCTTGAATCATTTGTAATAATGCTCCTTGTGGAGGCTCATCACTGCTACTTATAATCTCAGAAAAAAGGTGTGCTTATAGCTACAAGCATTATGGTAACTGTGAAAAGACAGTTTGTCAGGCTTTACTTTTTTGTCAAATGAATAAAATTTTTGTTTTGTTTATCAGTTGTTGAATTAAAAGGTAAAGCCAGGCACAGTGGCTCATGCCTGTAACCCCAGCACTTTGGGAAGCCATGGCGGGTGGATCACTTGAGGTCAGGAGTTCAATACCAGACTGGCCAACATGGTGAAACCCCATAGCTACTAAAAATACAAAAATTAGCCAGGTATGGTATGGGGCGCCTGTAATCCCAGCTACTCGGGAGGCCGAGGCAGGAGATTTGCTTGAACACAGGAGATTTTCTTGAACCCAGGAGGCGGAGGTTGCAGTGAGCCAAGATCGCACCACTGCACTCCAGCCTGGGTGACAGAGCAAGACTCCATCATAAATAAAATAAATAAATAAATAAATCAGAATAGTCATTAACAAAAATTAATGCATTATACCTGTAAACAGTGTTTCGTATTTTCTCTGCTTTGTTTAAATCATTTAATCTCAGTGAGAGTTGTAATTCCTGACAAGGTGTCTAGGAAATTACTGGGTATGAAAGAAGTCAAAGCAAGCTATGGTAGATATCCTGTTATGCATTACTGAGTCTTAAACAGCAGAGACCTATCCCTCCATTACACACAACTTTACAATGCCCTGAAATATTCCTGTAGGAGGGAAACTTGTTTACGTATGTCAGAGTATAGACACTGTATTTTATAAATCAATGCAAAGCACTTTTGCACTATTTTAACTCCTGAATTTCCAGTATTTCAATGCCTGTGTACTGTCAGGAAAGCTTGTATTTTGTTTTGTTCAGAAATATATCAATGTTTTCTCATCATTTTGTAGTTTCAGGCCTTAGGTTTAAATATTTAACCCATTTTGAGTTAATTTTTGTATATTGTGTGAGATAAAGGTCTAATTTCATTCTTTTTGCATGTGGATATCCAGTTTTTCCATAAATGTTTGTGAAAGAGACTATCCCTTCCCTATTGCGTATTCTTGGTGCCTGTGTCACAGATTATTTGACCATATATTTTGGGCTTTATTTCTGAGCTCTTCTGTTCCATTGGTCTATGTATCTGTTTTCATTTTGGTACCACACTGTTGTGACTACTAAGGCTTTGTAATTTTATTTGAAGTCAGAAAATCTGATGTGTTCACGTTTGTTCTTGTTCAAGATAGCTTTAGCTAGTCCAGGTCTCTTGTGGTTCTTAGGAATTAAGGATTCAGTATTTTGAAAATGTACAGATGGTGATAACATACTATAGGATGTCTTCATTTTGATATCCAGTGTAGATGACTCTTCTTTTATTTTTCTGTTATATTAACTCTCCTAATATTTTCTGTAATAATACAGTTTAAAGTTTATATAGTTTTATTTCTAATTTTATGCATAGGCATGTGCTTTAGTTATGAATTTTATAATACCAAAAGCTGTTACAAAATATCTGTTTCAAAAAGGAAAAAAATGCCCCATTGTTAGAAGTTAAATTTTGAAGAATTTAGAAGTAAACGATCCTGATGTCTTAAATCTCAAATATTCAGCAACATCAATTGTGTATGTATGTGTGTTTGCGTTTGTGAATGTGTATATTTAATAAAGAGGAGATGAAGCCAATTTGACAAAATGTTAACATTTGATGAACTTAGGTTGAAGGGATACATGAGTTTATTGTACTATTTTTAAAAATTTAAATAAAATCTTCAATACTCAGTATATCCCATAGTATTTAAGCTGCTAAATTCTGAAACCCATTTCTGGAGATACGCTCACTGGGTGGATTCAGCGCATTTTTAAAATCATCTGTGTTGATTAAATAGATGCTAGACCCCTGCTGAAGACGATTCCCACTAGTGAATCTCCATTTTGAAAAACATCTGTGTGGAACTTCAAACCAGAGCTGATAAGAAAGCACTTTTTTGTAAGAAAAGAAGATATTACTACTATGGGGCTTACTTACCAGGTAATTATCATTTATAATCATGTCAAATTACCCAAATATCAGTTGTATTAGGAAGCCACAGATATTGCCCTGGGCTGTATTTCTTAGTAATACCTCAGTAATGGAATGACAGCTTCCCACTTCAAACACATTTTTAAATACACTGTGGTGGACCTGAGTTTACAAGTTTATACAGGATGAATGTTTAAGGAGGGATATCCCCATTAAAGTGACAACAATTATTAAGTCACAGAATGTCAGCAGTGACAAAAGTGTACGGAGAGTTAATTGAACTACAACAGATTTTATACATAGGAAAGGTGAAAATTATTATGGAAAAAGAACCTGATAAGATTGTATTATAAAATTGTAGTGCTGTCTGACTTGCAAAAATGGAAAACAATGTTTATTTTATTTTTTTCATTTTGGTTAGAACATTCAAATGTTAAATTTGTTTACATTTGTACATTAATATTTCCATTAATAATAATAATAATCACAAATGTAACTTTTCTTTACCATCTAAACATGTGCCAGGGACTGTTTGAAGCCCTTTTGTGAATTATAACATGTAGTTTTCATCATTTCCCTATGACACATGGGCACTGTTAATATCTTTTCTTATAGAATAGATTCCCACAGAAGCAGAGACTGAGTTGAGGATTTGAGTATGTGCGTTTTATTATTTGTGTGTGTTTGTGTAAGTGAGGCAACACTAGAAAGTACCAATAAGAGACTTGGAGAGGTTAGGTTGTAAAGGAATGAAAGAGAATACAGGATATTTTAATAAGCAGGTTGCTGCTCAGGGCATCTTGGACTCAATCCTGCTGGTATTCTCTGGGAGATGGTATAGAGCAGTGGTTCTTAACTTTGTTGTGTATCAGAATCACCTGGAGAGTTTGTTAAACTCTATTTCTGGGGCTCATCCTCAGAGTCTGAGTCAATGTATCTTAGGTTCAAAGAATTTGCAATTTTTCTAACGAGTTCCTAGGTGATGGTCTGGAGACCACATTTTGAGAACCACTGGTGAGAACATGCCTAAGACTCCTCCCACCTGAGAGACAGCAGGCAGCAGCATTATTTTCTAGCTTCTCTCCCTCATTGGCTGAGGGCTTCTCTTTGCACACTAACTTGCTAGCACTTTCGGTCAGCCCTGTGGATGCACCTAACATAGGTCCTTAGGCGGACAGTGGCAGGTTTTTGCAGTGGGACTCCAGCAGCATGAATTGGAAAGGTGAGTGCTGGGAGTATATGGGTGGAGCCCCTCAACACTGTGTTATATCTCTAGTTTACAAATGAGAAAATGAGACAGAGAGAAGTTAACTTTCCCAAAGATTAATAACTGTTAAGTGATAGAGGCAAGATTCCAATTTAGGATTACAATTCAGGCAGCATCAACACTTCCTGGGAACTTTAAAAAAAAATGCACATTCTTGGGTTTCACACCAGACCTGCTGAATAGAAACTCCAGGAGTGAGACCCAGAGTCTTCGTTTTAACAAGCTTTCCAGGGTATTCTGATACCCTTTCAAATTTTAGAACTATTAGTCTGAGCCATGTGCTTTTATTCTTTACATTACACAATTTTAACACCGTAGTGAGAACTTCATCAGGTATCATCTGTTTCCCATTTTTAAACATCTAAGAGAAAATAAATGTTAACCAATAACTGCTTGTATATATAGATCTATGTGTCTTACACATGTCAATCTGTGTGTCTGTTACACATGTCTGAGGATGAGTTCCAGTCAATATGCATTTACTTCTCTGTACATTTTTCCTTTGTCTAGAAGTTTTGTTCCTGACAACATGATTGACAATGTGTTTTCTTTTGATAACACGTTGTCAGGGACTGAAAAGTATCTCTCTCTTCATGGCTCCGCTTTTTTTCTCTGGCCACCTGATGAAATTTCATTTCCACAGTTCAGTTCACTTAAAGTTGTGAACCTGCATTTCCTCCTGACCATCATTGATTTCACCACGCGGCATTTACTTCCTTTTATGTAAAAGACAACAGAGAGGACTCATATAAAACAAGGTCTCTGTGCTGGAAAGCTGTTGGTATTCCAGAATCTCATGGCTAAGGATTCTTTTTTGCTATTTAATAAATAATGATAATAATAAAACTGCTTCATGCTATACATTAGCCCTCTAGACTTAGTCATCCTATATAACTGCAAGTTTGTTCCATATGGCCTACATATCCCCATTTTCTCCCCCTCCCTGTCCCTGTAACAACGGTTCTACTTTCTTTCTATTCCTTCAACTTTTAGATTTCACATATAAGTGGCATGATGCAGTATTTTTCTGTGTCTCACTTATTTTACGGAGTATAATGATTCCTAGGCTCATCCATGTTGTCACAAATGGCAGTATCTCCTTAAGGCTAAATAATATTTTATTATACATTTATATGTATACATATACACACACACCACAGTTTCTTTGTCCATTTATACATCGATGGACACTTAAGTTGTTTCTTTATCTTGGCTATTTTGAATAATGCTGAAATTATCATGAGCACAGTTATCTCTATGAGGTGCTGACTTCCTTTCATTTAGATATATACCCAGAAGAGGGATTTCTGGGTGATGTGGTATTTCTATATTTAATTTTCAGAGAACCTTCCTTCATACTGTTTTCCATAATTTCTGTACCTACTTGCATCACCACAAACAGTATACAAGGGTTTCCTTTTCTCCATATCTCCACCAACACATATTTTTTTTTCTGTCTGATTTTAGCCATTCTAACAGGTGTGGGTTGATATCTCATTGTGTTTTTTATTTGCATTTACTTGATGAATCAATTTTCATATACCAGTATGCCATTTCATAAGAACTGTACTAAAAAAAGGTATACTGAAATTTTGCTAATGGCATAGATTTTAGGTGCTCTTACTACTAAAAATAGGTAACTGTATAAAGTTATGGATATGTTAATTTGCTTGATTATAGTATATGTCATTTCATTATGTATACATTTCAATATGTATATCAGAGCATCATGTTGTACACCTGTAATATATACAATAAAAATTAAGCCATGCAAGATAGACTAGTGGATTTTGATTATTTTAATCATTAAAATCATAAAAATGTTTAATGTCAATATGGTTTCCAATTTTACATTGCAACTAAACCTAAGAAACTACCACTTGCTGAGTTTTAGTGCAGTGTCAAATAATTTCCAAAACTATCTGAAAACATCATTAAAATACTTTTCTGAAAGAAGTCATTATATGAAAAAGACACCTGCACACACATGTTTATAGAAACACAATTCACAATTGCAAAGATATAGAACCAACCTAAGTGTCTATCGACCAACGAGTAGATTAAAAAAATGTGGTATATAGGTACCAAGGAAACTACTACTCAGCCATAAAAAGGAATAAAATAATATCTTTTGCAACAACTTGGATGGAGCTGTAGCCCATTATTCTAAGGAAGTTACAGGCATGAGAAACCAAATATTGTATGTTCTCACATATAAGTGGGAGCTGAGGTGTGAGGAAACGAAGACATACAGAGGGATCTAATGGACTTTGGAGACAGGGTAGGGGAGATTGGGAAGGAGGTAAGGGATAAAAGACTACATATTGGGTACAGTGTACACTACTCAGGCAATGAGTGCACTAAAATCTCGGTTCACCACTATAGAACTAATCCATGTAACAAAAACCACCTGTACCCCCAAAACTATTGAAATAAAGAATACAATTTAATAGATAAATAAAAGGTTAAAAAACAAAAAACAAAAAAAAATTCCTGTACTGAAACTACTGTGTGAGGATATGTATTTTCTTCACAGAACTCAACCGAAGCAGCACATTGCAATGAATTAGGTACAGAAGCAGAGATGAGTATCTGTTTGTCTTCAATTAAGCCAGATGATTAAGAAATTTGAAAATATGGAAAACAATGTTACTAATTCCATTTTGTCTTAGAGATATAGCAGTTTTTTCATAGAGATATGTTTATGTTAACATGTAATAGATTCATTATTATTTTAAATGTATACATAAATAAAAAATAAAATTACCTTATGTTTAGCTGGTTATCACACAAATTCAAATGCAGCACAGAGCTTGTGTCATATGTCTGCTGCTATACTAAGTTTTCATATCTCTTCTCTACCTGAAAAATTCCATTTATTCTTAAAGGGTCACGTTAAATGTCTTTCTTTTGGGGCCTTTTCTAAAACTCCAGAGCTTACTGCCTTTTCTTTTTTTCCATTTCCTTTAACAGTGTTCATTTCTATGCTATAATGCTTATCACATTATCTTACAATTATATGGTTTCCTGCTGTTCCTAAACTATACACCCTGGAGGCAGGAGAGTAGGTCATGTTAAACCTTAAATCTATAGAATGTGGAGTGTGCACATAAAACTTAACCAATCAAAGTGTAAAAGATGAATCTCTAAGAAGATCAAAGTCATTGAATCCGCTATTTGATTCTAATTTAGATTAGAGTTGAAACAATTCAGCAAACGAGATTATACATTTTCTTGAAGGTGTCTGAAGTGATCCCATTTTAGTAAGCTATCCAACAGTCTTATAACTGCCTCACTCTATAATTCTCTCAAATGTAACATGACACATCTGTTAAGCGATTATATTTACTTTGTCCTCTTGGAAACTGAGAACCATCAACCACAACTTTCTCAATGCAGCTGGCCACACTTCAAATCAAACTGGAAAGCCTAGATCAATAGCTTCCAGTGCTATATCAGATATTGTCAACCTCAAGCACTTTATGTGAAAGGTAATATGAAACAAACTTGAAATTCTGAACAGTCAAGTAGAAGCACAACCTAAGCTTTCTTTTGTGAATTTGGCATGACATCTTGGGATTAGAATAGATTTTTCAGGTAGATACTAACTCATCTTTTCATCCTTAGATTTTTCTCATTCTGTGGTGTTTCTATCAGATTATATTTTCTAGCACCTTTACACTCATCTCTCCAGACATGCAGTTTATGTCCCCTTCTCTTGAATTTGTATGGGCCTTTGTAACTATCCAAACTAAAAGACTATGGCAAAAGCGGCACTCTGACTTTCCAGGATAGGTCATAAAAGATGATACAACCCACCTATTTCTCTCTCTTGGTACCCTTGGCCTTAGAGAGAATTATGCTCTGAGAAATCATAGGGGACATGGAAAGGCCCATGTGATGAGAAATCAAAGTCTTCATCCCAGGCTGTGAACCAAGTCAACAGCCAGTACAAACTTGTAATCCCTGTAAGTAAGCCATATTAAATGATTCTTTCACTCTACTACCCATTGGTTAAGCCCCCTCTGCTACTGCCACACAGAGCAGAACTCAGCCTTCTTCATCAAGCTCTGCTTAAATTGTAGAGTCATGAACTAATTAATGATTATTTTTTAAGCCGCTGGATTTGGCAGTTGTGTTTTCTTCACACATCAGTAGATAACTGGAATAGTGTTCAAATAGAAGACAATACTAAAAATAAGACTATCACATCATTGGAGAGTTCATTTAGTCTGCTGGCACAGGAGAGAGTATTCTTTCACTGAATGTCTGTTTCTTTCTCTAACTGGCAAAGTCTGATTATTTCTTAAGGATCACTTTAAATATCTTTTACATTATATAGCCTTTTCTAGACTCCGAGTTAGAGTTCACCATCATTATCTGTGCTCCTTCTATGTTCATCTGTGTTCAATTACATGTTATAGTACTTACCTTTTGGAATTCCCTGGTTTTCTAACTCTTCACAAACTGTATACCCTTTAAAGTATGGACATAGAACATATGGTCTCAACTAGAATTCAAGTAGTGAGTATAGCGTTCATTCTGGCTTCATGCAGTCTGTTAATGGAGTTTTTACTCATCTGTTTCATAACGCTGCCTTCCTTAACAAGGCCTCAAAGCTGCTGGTGAAGACTAGCAGCATCAAGAAGTCTCTAGTTTCCCTTTTCTCAAGAGGGATACACATTACATTATTAACATTTAGCAAGGCAGAACAAGGCACGTGGCCTCTCATGATAAGGAGGGTACAAATTGTAATCCCTTGTTTAACAGCCTTCTCCCCACAAAAACTCTTATCTTGTGGAAAGAGAGCAGGAATGGTGAGTGACCATATAGCTAATTGTGCTGGAAGAGACAAAAACAGAAAGGCAGAATAGAATGAGCATGAACTGGAACAACTGAATTATTTTTGATACTAGCTATCAGATCATGACTGAGTCTCGACATTTATGAGGCTGCTTCTTCATCTATAAAGTAGTAATAATAAAATTTGTTTCATGTTGGGAGTGAGAATCAAAAGAAACCTACTTTGGAAAAGCAAAACATACTAGTTTATTGTGAGCATAGGTTTTTGTGCTTTATATCATCTTATAGTCATATCATATCATATTCAGAGTGGATATTGTTCCTGCCATGCCTACAGAAAAATTAAGATATTAGAAACATGTATATTGTATCATTTATATAATAAGGCTACACATTTTTAAAATAAATTATCTTAGTGTTTTCTGAGAAAATTCAGATTAGACACAATAAATGGAGTCTGAAAAAATATAACCACCAAATAAAGATTATTAATAAAAAAGTTACTGTTGGTTGAGAGTCACTAGACAATGAATACACTAATTACTTTTTAAGTTTCAGCTTTTTAGATACTAGCGATAGATGTGTAGCATTATTCAGTGGGTGTATTGGACCCTGGTAGTGAGCATAATACCCAATAGGGAGTTTTTCAACCCATGTTCCCCTGCCTGCCTCCTCTCTCTAGTATCAACAGTGTCTATTATTCCCATGTTAATGTCCATGTGTACACAATGTTTAGCTGCCACCTATAAGTAGGAACATGTGGCATTTGGTTTCCTGTTCCTGCATTAATTCACTTAGGATTATGACCTCCAGCTCTATCTATGTTGTCGAAGAGGACATGATTTCATTTTTTTTTCTGGCTGCATAGTATTCCATGTTGTATATTTATTTACCAATTTTTTTTTGTTTTTTTGTTTTTTTGTTTTTTTGAGACAGAGTCTCTCTCTGTCACTCAGGCTAGAGTACAGTGGTGCAATCTTGGCTCACTGCAACCTCCACCTCCTGGGTTCACACCATTCTGCCTCAGCCTCCTGAGTAGCTGGGATTACAGGTGTGTGCCACCACACCGGACTAATTTTTACATTTTTAGTAGAGACGGGGTTTCACCATGTTGGTCAGGCTGGTCTTGAACTCCTGACCTCGTGATCCACCCGCCTTGGCATCCCAAAGTGCTGGGATTACAGGGATGGGCCACCGTGCCTGGCCACCACATTTTCTTTATCCAGTCTATGATTGATGGGCACCTAGGTTGGTTTCATGTTTTTGCTATTCTGAATAGCATGATGATGAAGACACACATAATTTAATCCTGACATAATATTATGATCTATGTTTTATAGTTGAGAGACCATGATAAAGAGAATTTCAAAATCTTACATGCTTTTACTTAGCCAATAAGCAGTAAAAGTTGGATTCGAACTTGTTCTGACTGCAGGGCTTGATAATTGTAAAAGGTGTAGTTCACCAACCTTCTTATGCATCAGGAGAGCACATTAAAATAGATCACTATCCTGATTCTCCTTTTTATTGAGTGGATGGAAGAATTCAGTAATCTTTGCAAAAGTTATGAGGCGTATTAGGTCAGTGCTAAGGATTTTTGACATTCTGATTCCACGAATATTGACTTGTATTTTTAAAATTAGTTGTATTATCTATGCCTGAAGTTGTGAAGATAATTAAAGAAGATACCTTTCAAAATCTGAATTTGAGACACAGTCCTATTTCATTGGAGTCAGATACCCTGAGAAGAGTGTTTGGGACATCTTGGGGACAAATCGAGTTCAGATTTGTCTGCATAATCGGCATGTAGGTATTTGCTATTCAGTAGTGTATATGTGTGACTGTATAGGTATTTTCACAGCAGAGAGAAATTCCTTGAGATAGAATCTTTGAAACATGAAATCTCATAAACAGAAAAGGTTTTTGTTGTTCTGGTTAATGTCCCTTAGGAGTGCATGAGGATTCATATGAAATCATAAATCTACACCATAAGTTTTTATAGTCTTCAGGAACTTTTTATTCTACCATCAAGTTATTCTTATACATGTTAGGGTTGTATAGGAGACTTTTTACTCTCTTTCAATGTAGACCATGATAAAGGCAAATAAGGTGTAGTGTATGGGCTAGTATTTGTATACATAATATTGAAGATTCCATGGCAGGTTTTCATATTTGGGAAGGCTAAAATTTACGTGATAACAGAGCATAAAGTGTTGTACAAACTCATCATCTTTGTAGCTCATGAAAGGCATACTTTATTTTTTTTATTTATTTATTTTTTGAGACGGAGTCTCGCTCTGTCACCCAGGGCTGGAGTGCAGTGGCGCGATCTCAGCTCACTGCAAGCTCTGCCTCCCGGGTTCACACCATTCTCCTGCCTCAGCCTCCCGAGTAGCTGGGACTACAGGCACCCGCCACCATGCCCGGCTAATTTTGTGTGTGTGTGTGTTTTTAGTAGAGATGGGGTTTCACTGTGTTAGCCAGCATGGTCTCGATCTCCTGACCTCGCGATCCGCCCACCTCGGCCTCCCAAAGTGCTGGGATTCCAGGCGTGAGCCACTGCACCCGGCCAAAAGGCATACTTTAAATTCAGAGGTCTCTCTCTTTCTGCTGCTGCTGCTTGGTGACGTTTTATGGTGACTTGCTCTGACACTGCATGGCTGTGTATTTGGAAGATGCACATGTTCATACTAACTGTAAAAATGACACCAAAAAGACATCCTACCTGTACATAAAAGATATGAGCTTTTAAAAGTCTATGTCTTTTAAAAGTCTATGAAATAGCTGGAACACGTTGCTATTTTGGATGCTGATATTTATATCTTAAACTTTTCTGATTTAAAAGTGCTTTCATTTGGAAATTTCATTTCGTTTCTACATAGTTCTAAAGTTAAAATTGAATATAGTTCATTCCTCAACAACATTGACTCTGGTGATGGAGTGATTATTAGCTCTTTGTTGTCTTCAGTGGAACATAGAAGTCTAAATACATATGAAAGGCTGGGAGAACCTGGAGCATTAGAGAGACTATTATTGGAATATATGTGTGTGTTTGTGGAGACCAGTGAAGATTAGTTTGATGGATGTTGCATGAATTGATGCTGGAAAGATAGGCAATGGCCCAATGATGAATAGTGTGTGGAGAATGAACTTTATATTGAAAGCATTAGAAAGTTGTGTTGGATTAAAGATTGCCACACATTATTGGAAATTTCTCCCGTAAAGATTTGAGGTCTAGCATCCCCTTGAAATAAGGAAAGCACTGTGACTGCTTTTAGCAATAGTATATGGTAGCAGTGATACTGTTCCAGTTTGTGGGCCCTGGTTTTAAGATTCTAAAACCATACACTTTTTGTCTTTTGGACTCTTTACTCTTGAAATGTCGGTGTCTTGTAATAACTATGCCCACCATGAGACCGCCATGCTGTAAAAAACCCAAGATATGTAGAGAGTACTGAAAGTTGATATGCCATGGAGAGAGAGTCGGAGGCATAGAAACAGACAGAGAAAGGCAAGCAGAGCAAGAAACACTGAAAGGTCAAACATTATTTAAAAAGACATCTTGGAAATGGAGCCTGCAGCCCCAGCTGCCCCAGCTGCTGCCAATACATCAGTGTACCAGAGATGAACCACCCAATTGAGCGTTTTCTAAATTCCTTACCCACAAAATCGTGAGCAACTAAAATGGCTTTAAGCTGCCAGATATTGCAGTATTTTTTTAAAAAGCAATAGATAATCAGAATAGGAATCGTCAAATAATTTGTGGCAGAAGGTGACACCATCAGATGTCTTACAGAGAGCAATAGGAGGATTAATGTCAGTGCTGTAAAACTAGAGACAAGAAGCAGCTTCAGAGGCTATTTCAGTCTCACCAGACAAGAAATATTCAAAGTTTGAGTTGTGAAAAGGGCAATGATAAAGGCAGTGGTGAAGAACTTGGGCTAAACTTAATAGGAAAGACATGGAATTAAACTAAATGCCCAACAATAGACTAAATAAAGAAAATGTGCATATACACTGTGGAGTACTATGCGGCCATAAGAAAGAATAAGATCATGTCCTTTGTAGCAACATAAATGGAGCTGGAGGCCATTATCCTAAAAAACTAATAAAGGAGCAGAAAATCAGATATCACATGTTCTTTCTTATAAGTGGGAACAAAATATCGAGTACAGATGGTCACAGAGAAGGGAACAGCAGACACCAGGGCCTATATGAGGGTGGAGGGTGGGAGGTGGGAGAGAATAAAAACAAAACTACCTAGTGGGTGCCATGCTTATTATCTGAGGGGCCCTAATGTTCACTATCATATTCACAGTTAAACCCTACTAGGTATTTTTTTCCAGTGAGTATTTACAGCTTATTGGAAATAATTTATTGTAATCAGAGCTACTGGATTTATTGACAAACCCTCATGAATTTGTATAAGAACTTACAAACAAATATCATAGCCTGTATTGAAAATAACAGAGAAAATGAGAGATACAGATACAGTAATGTTAATGTAACATCATAAATCACTCAAAATTCTAAAATCTCTGGCTATGTAAGGAAATATTATCATTTAATCCATTAAGAGCTGTAGTTTAGCAAGATGGCAAAATAGAAGACTTACCCTGGTTATCCCCATCCCCTTCAAGGAAACCAGTTTAACAACCATCTACACACAAAAAAATCACACTCATAAGAACGAAAAATCATAAGGGAACCATGCAGGCCCTAAAAATAAAAAACAAAAGAACCAAAAATCAGGTGAGCACTCACAGTACCTAGTCTTATTAAAATCAATGAAAGAGGCACTGAAGAGGTAGGAAAAGCGGTCTTGAATTGCCAATGCCACCCCTCTTCCAACCCCCTGCTGTAGCCGTGTGGCGTGGAGGGCATTTCTGTGCACTGGTGAGAGGGAGAGTGCAGCAATTGTGAGGCATTGAACTCAGTGCTGCCCTGTTATAGCAGAAAGCAAAATCAGTCCAAGCTCAGCTGATGCCCATCCACAAAGGGAGCATTTAAAACAGCCCTTTTTAGGGGAAGCACTGATCCAAGAAGTTGGAACTTGAGTTCCTGCAAGACTTGCCACCATGGGCTAAAGCGCTCTGGACCTATAAATAAAGTTGAAAGTCAATCTGTGCCACAAGGACTGCAACTTCTAGACGAGTCCTAGTGCTGAACTGGCCCCCAGAGCCAGAGGACTAGGAGGGAATATGACCTGCTGAGACACCAGCCTGGATTGCTAAGGGCTTGCTGGCATCACCTATCCCCTACCCCTAGACTCCTTCTGCACAGCTCTTGACTCCAAAAGAGACTCATTCCTTCCACTTAAGGAGAGGAGAGGAGAGGAGAGGAAAGAGTGGGGAGGACTTTGTCTTACATCTTGGAAACCAGCTCAGCCACAGGAGGATAGGGAACCTATCGGAGTCATGAGGCCCCCTTTCCAGGCCATAGCCCCCAGAGGAAATTTCTAGACACACCCCAGGCCAGGTGGCAACCTATTGCCTTGAAGGGAAAGACAGTCCTGGCAGCATACATCAAATGCTAACTGAAGTGCCTTTGGTCCTTGAATACCCAGCAGCAGCAATACCCAGGTACTACATCAAGGGCTTTGTGTGAGACTCTCAGACTTGCTAGTTTCAGATGAGATTTAACATATTCTCAGCAGTGCTGGATAAAAGGTGAGACTCCTTCTGCTTCAGAAAAGCAGAGGGAAAAGTAAAGGAGACTTTGGCTTGCACCTTAGATACCAACTCAGCCACAGGCGCATAGAGGACCAAGTGGGCTCCTGGAGTCCCTGATTCTATGACTTGGCTCTTGGAAGGCATTTGTGGACCTGCCCTTGGCCAGAGAGGAGCACATTGTCCTGAAGGGTGAATCCAACCTCAGGCAATATTCACCACTACATGCCGACCGAAGAGCCCTTTGGACTTCAGGAATATTGGCAGTACTCCCCATGGGCCTATGATGGTGTTGGCTTTGGGATCAGGCTCCCTTGACTTCAGAAAGGGCAGGAGAGAGTAGGAAAGTCCGCATCTTGTGGTTTGAATGCCAGGTGATCCACAATACAACAGAACAATGGGTAGACTTCTAAGGTTTCTGACTCTAGTGCCTAGCTCCTGGATAGGACCTCTAGACCTGCCCAGAGCTGAGGGAAACCTGATGCCCTAAGGGGAAGGACACAGGCCTGGCTGGCTTTGCCAGTTGCTAACAGTAGAGGCTCAGGGCCTTGAGAAAACATAGGTGGTAGCCAGGGAGTGGTTACAGCAGACCCAGTGCCGTGCTGGTTTCAGGTCTGACCCAGCACAATCCTAGTGATGGTGGCCACAGGCATGGTTGTGTCACTCAATCTGAAGCTCCAAGGGCCTAAGAACACAGAGAGAGACTCTGTCTGGGACAAAGTAAGGGAAGAGAATAAGTGTCTATGCCTGGTAATCCAGAAAATCCTCCCCAATTTTGTCCAAGACCATTAAGGTGCTACCACTAGGAGTCTGCAAGAACCACAGCATTACTGGGCTTGGCATGCCCCTAAAACAGATAAACTTTAGGTAACAACATCTACCATATTTTGAATATTTGAAAGCCTTCGCAAGAAGGATGAGTACAAACAAGGCCAGACTTCAAAGACTACAGTAAATACATAACTCTTCAATGCCCAGGCACAGAAGAACATTTACAAGTATCAAGACCATGAAGGAAAACAAGATCTCAAAAAATGAACTAAACAAGGAACCAGAGATTAATCCTGGAGTAACAGAGATATGAGACTTTTCAGATACAGTATTCAAAATAGCTATGTTGGGGAAACTAAAAGAAATTGAAGATGACACAGAAAAGGAATTCAGAATTCCATCAGATAAATTTAACAGAGATGGAAATAATTACAAAGTGTCATGCACAAATTCTGGAGCTGAAAAATGCAATTGGCATGCTGAAGAATGCATCACAGCCCTTTTAAAAAACTTATTGTAAGTTCGGGGATACAAGTAAAGGTTTTTTACCCAGGAAAACTTGTGCCATGGGCATTTGTTGTACAGTTTATTTCATCACCCAGGTATTAAGCCTAGTATCCTTTAGTTATTATTCCTGGTCCTCTCACTCCTCCCACCTTCCACCCACCGATAGGCACCGGTGTACATTGTTCCCATCTATGTAATCGTGTGTTCTCATCATTTAGTTCCACTTACAAGTGAGAACATGCGGTATTTGGGTTTCTGTTCCTGCATTAGTTTGCTAAGGATAATGGCCTCGAGCTCCATACATGTTCCTACAAAGACATGATCTTGTTCTTTTTTCTGGCTACATAGTATTCCATGGTGTATACGTACCACATTTTCTTTAGTCTATCATTGATGGGGATTTGGGTTGATTCCATGTGTCTAGTATGGTGAATAGGGCTGCAATGAACATATGCATCTGTGTGTCTTTATAACAGAATGATTTATATTCCTTTGGGTATATACCCAGTGATGGGATATATGTGTCAATGGTATTACTGTCTTTAAGTCTTTGGGGCATCTCCACACTGTCTTCCACAACAATTGAACTAATTTACACCCCCACCAACAATATATAAGCGTTCCTTTTTCTTCTACAACCTTGCCATCATTTGTTATTTTTTGGCTTTTTTGTAATGGCCGTTCTGACTGGTGTGAGATGGTATCTTATTGTGGTTTTGATTTTCACTTTTCTAATGATCAATGATGTTGAGATTTTTTTACCTATGATTGTTGCCACATGTATGTATTCTTTTGAAAAGTGTCTGTTCATGTCGTTTGCCCACCATTTATGGGGCATGCCTATTATTTTATTTTATTTTTTATTTTTTGAGATGGAGTTTCACTCTTGTTGCCCAGGCTGGAGTGCAATGGCACGACCTTGGCTCACTGCAACCTCCGCCTCCCGGGTTCAAGCAATTCTTCTGCCTCAGCCTCCCGAGTAGCTGAGATTACAGGCATGTGCCACCACACCCGGCTAATTTTGTAGTTTTAGTAGAGACAGGGTTTCTCCATGTTGGTCAGGCTGATCTCAAACTCCCAACCTCAGGTGATCTGCCCGCCTCGGCCTCCCAAATTGCTGGGATTATAGGCGTGAGCCACCGCACCAAGCCCATTATTTTATTTTTAATGTTCAAGTGTTTTAAGTACACTGAAAGTACACAAAATGATACAGCTGAACTACATGTACTCACCAACCAATTTTTCCCAGCTTTATTTAGGCATAATTAGCAAAAAGGTATTCATATTTAATGCATGAAACTTGATTTGATATACATTTTGCAACAATTCCCACAACCAAATTAACACATCTGTCATCACATTTAGTTGTTATTGTTTGTGTATGTGGTAAAGTGACTTACGATCTACTCTCGGGCCGGGCACGGTGGCTCATGCCTGTAATCCCAGCACTTTAGGAGGCCGAGGTGGGCGGATCATTTGAGATGGGGAGTTCGAGACCAGCCTGACCACCATGCAGAAACCCCATCTCTACTAAAAATACAAAATTAGCCAGGCATGGTGGTGCACGCCTGTGATCCCAGCTACTCAGGAGGCTGAGGCAGGAGAATCGCATGAACCCGGGAGGCGGAGGTTGCGGTGAGCCGAGATTGCACCATTGTACTCCAGCCTGGGCAACAGAGTGAAACTCCATCTCAAAAAAAAAAAAAAAAAAAAAAAAAAAAAAAAAAGATCTACTCTCTTAGCCAATTGCAAGTAAGCAATACAAAATTACTGACTATAAGTACCATGCGATATTTTAGATCCCCAGAACTTATTCACTTTGTATCTGAGAGTGTTTACTCTTTGACCAACATCTCCCCATTTCCCCATTCCCAAAGCCTTGACAACCACTTTTGTACTTTCTGCTTCCATGCATTTGACTTTTTTTGATTCTACATATAAGTGAAATCATGCAGTATTTGTCTTTCTGTGTCTGGCTTATTTCACTTAGCATAATTTAGCATAATGTCCTTCAGATTCATCCACGTTGTTGCAAGTGACAGAATTTATATATATATATATATATATATATAATTTATATATATATAAATTATATATATATAATTTATATAATTATATATATATAATTTATATATAAATTATATATATTAAAATTTATATATACATATAAAATTTTATATAATTTAATATATATAAATTTTATTTATATATAATATATAATGTATATACAGACACATATATATATACACACACGTATAATACACACGTATATATATATATATATATATATACACACACACACATATATATGTATAAACATTTCTTCATCCATTTATCCATCAACACCACACTGGTCCTCTATCTAGGCTGTTGTGAATAATATTGCAACAAATATGGGAGGGCAGATGTCTTTTTGAGATACTGACTTTATTTCCTTTGGATATATACCCTTGAAAGAAATTACTGAATCATATGGTAATTCTATTTTTAATTTTTTGAGGAAAACTCAAACTGTTTTCCATAGGCTGTAACTATTTACATTATCACCAACAATGTGCAAAGATTATCTTTTCTCCATATCTTCATCAACATTTGTTTTTCCCATGCCTATGTCCTGAATGGTAATGCCTATGTTTTCTTCTAGGGTTTTTATGGTTTTAGGTCTAACGTTTAAGTCTTTAATCCATCTTGAATTCATTTTTGTATAAGGTGTAAGGAAGGGATCCAGTTTCAGCTTTCTACATATGGCTAGCCAGTTTTCCCAGCACCATTTATTAAATAGGGAATCCTTTCCCCATTGCTTGTTTTTCTCAGGTTTGTCAAAGATCAGATAGGTGTAGATATGCGGCGTTATTTCTGAGGGCTCTGTTCTGTTCTATTGATCTATATCTCTGTTTTGGTACCAGTACCATGCTGTTTTGGTTACTGTAGCCTTGTAGTATAGTTTGAAGTCAGGTAGCATGATGCCTCCAGCTTTGTTCTTTTGGCTTAGGATTGATTTGGCGATGGAGGCTCTTTTTTGGTTCCATATGAACTTTAAAGTAGTTTTTTCCAATTATGTGAAGAAAGTCATTGGTAGCTTGATGGGGATGGCATTGAATCTATAAATTACCTTGGGCAGTATGGCCATTTTCACGATATTGATTCTTCCTACCCATGAGCATGGAATGTTCTTCCATTTGTTTGTATCCTCTTTTATTTCATTGAGCAGTGGTTTGTAGTTCTCCTTGAAGAGGTCCTTCACATCCCTTGTAAGTTGGATTCCTTGGTATTTTATTCTCTTTGAAGCAATTGTGAATGGGAGTTCACTCATGATTTGGTTCTCTGTTTGTCTGTTATTGGTGTATAAGAATGCTTGTGATTTTTGTACGTTGATTTTGTATCCTGAGACTTTGCTGAAGTTGCTTATCAGCTTAAGGAGATTTTGGGCTGAGACAATGGGGTTTTCTAGATATACAGTCATGTCATCTGCAAACAGGGACAATTTGACTTCCTCTTTTCCTAATTGAATACCCTTTATTTCCTTCTCCTGCCTGATTGCCCTGGCCAGAACTTCCAACACTATGTTGAATAGGAGTGGTGAGAGAGGGCATCCCTGTCTTGTGCCAGTTTTCAAAGGGAATGCTTCCAGTTTTTGCCCATTCAGTATGATATTGGCTGTGGGTTTGCTAACCTGCACATTGTGCACATGTACCCTAAAACTTAAAGTATAATAATAATAAAATAAAATAAATTTGTTTTTCTTGTCTTTTTGATAATAGCCATTCTAAAAGGTGTGAGGTTGTGGTTTTGATAAACATTGCCCTGAAGATTAGTGATGCTGAGCATGTCTTCATATACCCATTGGCAGTAATGTGTGCCTAAAATTGGAATATAAATTTGGGAAAGACTCTGCTTTAAACTTCCAAACTTTTAGGAAAAGATGGAAATCAAATGAACACGGTTTACTCATCTGAGTAATACCTTTTTATTGAAGCCCCATCACCTCTCCTGTTTCTCATCATTATTTTATTTTCCTACTCAATAATTTTCATTAGTGCAAAGTAGTTTGTATTTTTAAATATTCTCTACTTGTCAAAACACATTTTGGGGATTAATCTTATTTCTTTTGAATTAAATCATGTTAGAGTTTTAGCATGATGATTCCTCCTGTAATTTTATTTGTACAAAAATATAATTGGTTGAGATATCCTTAAAATACAGAGGGTCACATATAGTACAAATTCAGTTTTGCCTAATAGGCTACATACAACAGCGTATTAAATAGTATTCTATTTTTTAAAAATATCAAAGTAATAAATGCACAAGATAATAATTCCATTTGGCTTTCCTCTATCCCTCTCCCCAGTCTCTATCTCCACCTACTAGCATCTGACACATTTAACTGTTTTAACTATTTCTTGTTTTACTTCTACTGATTAATAATTCCTACCATTAGAAACTATCTCCTATTATAATTTTTTATTAAGAGAATATCAATTGTCTTCAAATCACAAAGATAATGTTATTAACAGTATTTTTCACTTAATATTTTTGATTTAGTATTTTTGTTTACTTTTGGAATAAAAAAACAGACATAAACATGGAATTATATGATTATTTCCTGACTTGTCAAGATTTCAAATTCTCTTCTATGAGTGGTAGGAGATTGGCGAACCTACACTTCCATCCACTTCTTGTATCTTATCTTCCTTTTACTCTCACCTTTACCTTTAATTTGTCAGGGTTAATGGCATTTACTTTTATTTCTGTAACCATATTTAAGTGGCCCATGTATTGCTTCTGTGCTTATTTTTTAAATTGAAAACATGTAGTTAGATGAATTTGACTCTAACTATGGTTCACTATGCAACAAAGTAGTGTGCTAAGGTTGCACACTACTTTGCATAGGTCTCATCTCACAATTTTTGTGGCACTTCACAGAAAGCACTTCTGATTCAGGTCAAATGGATACTTTTGCATTAAAGTCAATCATGACAAGTTTTGGTTTGTTTCACAATTAAACCATGACTTTATTTTTCATCATGCTACCCCCACCCCTGAATTTACTGGTTTTCTCTTTCTATTTTAAGATTGGTGGGAAAGCCTGTTTTGTAGCATCACTAATAACTTACATCTTTTTATTTACACTCTATTATTGGAATTCCTTACAGTTGTTTTCTTCAATAAAGCAATCTTAGAGACATTTGACTCTCAACTTAATTTGCAGTTATTACTTTCTAAGCCTACCATAGAGATGTCATCTTGGAATTTTTGCCACTTGACTCCTAGATGAGTTCCATTTATTAAATCCTGTTTTCTTCCTGTTTCTTGGTTTTCATCCTCTAGTTTCTTAGTGTAGTAGATTCAAGCAATTTCTTCAGAGGAGGTGCATGAGCCGTAACTTTTTCAGTTTTTGAATTTCTGAATGTACCTAAATTTTGTCCTTACACTTGATAGGCAGATTAAATGTATATACAATATTATTTTCAAAGTCGCTGTCACAGGACTTAGACAACAACCATGCAGTAATGCTAGGGCAATTGATTGTAGGCCAATTCTCATTCCTTTGTCAGGAATCTGTCTCTGTAGATTTCACCTCCTTGGAAGTTTTTGAGAGCTTGCCTTTATCCTTGGCATTCTCAAAATTTAAGATGCCATGTTGAGCTGTGGGGATTTTTATTCTTACTCAGCACAAGGACATTGTCACCATTGGGCTGTCTGGGGATTCATGCTTCATTTTGGTTTTTGCCAACCTATTTTTTTTATTTTCTAAGTTTTCTTTGCATTTATTTTATTCTCTCTTCTAGGAATGCCTATTTGTGTTTGTTTGTTTGTTTGTTTGTTTTTGTTTTTATTGGTTCACCCTTTTTGATGGCCCATGTTTTCTGTATTTTTGTTTAGTTATAATTTTATTTGTGTCCTGTTTAGGGCTCTCAGATGGTCCTAGTTAACCAGCTTCTGCAGGAGTAATTTTTTCCCATTTATTTTCATTTGCATCAAATATGTCTTAGACACTGCCTGATGCTCAAGCAGTTTATTCTGGCAGGGCTCTTACAAGATGGACAGCGGGAGCAGGCTGGTGTCATGGTCCAGATAGAGTCAAGGGTTCAGATGACCAGTTGACTGGAAGGTATCCATCTGAGGATCATTCTCAAAGTTTGGGGATTTCTTCCCCCTTATTTATACCTGTATTCAGTCTGGGTCAGTTACCAGGTATTTCTTTTATAAAAGGAGTGTAAGTTATAAGAATAGCTTTAGGTAAAGGTAAGAATATTAAGGGCAAGCTTTGTTTTAAGGTTTATGAATGTTGCATCTGCATTGAGGTGGCCTTGTCTCCTGGAAATCCCTGGGCCAAGGTTGGTGATCCCCAGTCCAGATTGTATCACACTGCTAAGTTTCACATAATGTAGGCCCTGCAAGAAGTTTGTGTGGGCCTTATGTATATTAATAAACTTGTATCTGTGTCTCTTGTATAGTATAATTCATCTTGTGCTTCCATCTCATTTCTATCTTCTGAAAATTCATTGGAATCTCTTATCTCCTAATAGTCTTCTCTCCCTCTCTTGTTTATAAAATGTTTCTTTTGTATTTCTTTACTGTAATTTTATTAAAGCTTTGGAAAGAAAGAAGCCCAAATACCTGAGTTTCCTTTCCATCTTCTTTGCTTTTTCCTCATGGACTATAAACTCTGTGGGAGCAGATACTTCATTGAGTTCCAGGCTGACTCCCCAACACCCAGAAGAATACTGGCACAAAGTAGGTAGAGAATAAATTATTATTAAATAGATGAAGAAATCTTAAATTTTACGACAGTAACAGCTGATCCGTTCAAACTAAGCTAATTCAACAAGGGTTTATAAAAGGGCTAAAAAGTGAAAGAGCAGAAACACAGAGCTAGGAATTGCAGAACTGTCACCTCCTCTGGCCAAAAGAGGCAGAAAAAATGGATATTTTTCACTATTCATAAGCAGAGAGGCTTCCAGAGAAAGCCTCTTTGAGAGAGGAACAGTAACCTTCTCTTAAGAGAGAAAACTGACCTACTAGAACTTCACCTGGGAAGAAGCAGGGGAATCGTGGCTCACTCTCTTCTCTCCCTCTGAGGATATCCATTGACCAAACCTCACCAGGTGTCAAAGATCACTTAAACCCACAGATATTATCCATACATGTCAGCGTTCCCTGGCGGAGTATGATGTAAAAACGGGGGGTGGGGGAGAATGTGTCTGGGGCACAAACAGAAGTTTCCCAGTACCAATGGGAACCACATTATGTTCCTGATATAAAAGCTATCTTTATTTCTTCCTTCTAGTTTTTCCCTTGACATATAGTCATTCCTCAGTATCAGCAGAGGATTGGATCCAGCGATAAGAAAGTTCACAGATCATTAAGTCCATTATATATGCAATGGCATAACATGTGCATGTGAGCATTGCACAACTTCCCATATATTTTGAATAATCTCTAGAATACTTACAATACCAAAAAGATGTAAGCGCTGTGCAAATAGTTATAATACTGTATTGTGTTCAAATTTGTGTTTTGATTGGTTCTCAAATCTTTTCGTTATGCAGTGATTAAAGCAGTGGAGGCAAGGCTGGGTGCGGTGGCTCATGCCTGTAATCCCAGCACTTTGAAAGGCCGAGACGGGTGGATCACCTGAGGCCAGGAGTTCGACACCAGCCTGGCCAACATGGTGAAACCCCGTCTCTACTAAAAATACAAAATAAAAATTAGCTGGGTGTGGTGGCAGGCACCTGTAATCCCAGCTACTCGGGAGGCTGAGGCAGGAGAATCGCTTGAACCTGGGAGGCAGAGGTTGCAGTGAGCAGAGATCGCGCCACTGCACTCCAGCCTGGGCGACAAGAGCAAAACTCCATCTCAAAAAGAAAAAAAAAAAAAAAAGTGAAGGCAAAACCCAGAGATACAAAGGGCTGACTGTATCTTCATTTTTATTATCATTTTCTACAGCTGAACCTTTATGTAAACATAAGCAACCATTTTTTGTACATACAGTTTGAACCATTTTGCAATTGTATTAAATTAATTGCCTCAAATATTGATTGCTCTCTCTCTAATTTACATGTGCAATGGGTCAAGAAATTCTGTGAAATCTACTTAATAACCTTTATCTCTTTTCCAACATTATACTTTTTCTAATTCTCACTTTTCTTAGTCCCTCACATACTGGTCTTCTTTCTCCAATCTCTCCTCTGATTTTATCAACAGTAATTATGACATACAGGATATTTAATGTTTTGAACAGTGTCATAAATGTAGCCTCACTGAGCACAATAAAGTATACCCTTTAAAGTTTCTGCCTTTGAATGTGCCCCTTTCTCTGCCTAGACCACCTTCCCTACCTGATTATCACTGTCCATCATTTGGAATTCAGGTCAAATACCATGTCTTATGCAGATCTTCCCCAATTCCCTTGGACAGAGGGGTTACCTCCTCATTTATATGCTGTTTTCCTACAGGGCCTTTATCACACTAAAAATGTTGTTTTCTACTATAATTTTCTCTCTTCCAACTAGAGTGTGAAAACATTAAAGACCAAACTATATTTTATTTACTTCAATATCCTCAGACCCTAACCCAGCACACGTCCACAGTAGGAAATAAAGTATTTTGCTATTTGTAAACTTGATGAAGGTTATGAAAATGCTAAAGCTACCACCTTTGGTTGTTTTTATCTAATCTTTCTATAGCATATAAATAACCTAGAATAAATGCTTTATACTTCATAGAAAATGACACATTGCAAACAATTCTGAATGACTACTGTATTTGGGGGTTGTGACTCCCTATCCATACTCAAGGAAATGGTCTTCAGGTGTGGTGGCTCACGCCTGTAATCCCAGCCCATTGGTAGGCCAAGGCAGGCAGATCACTTGAGGTCAGGAGTTCAAGACCAGCCTGGCCAACAAAAAGAAACCCCATCTCTATTAAAAAAAATAAAATGAAAAAAAAATAGCTGAGTGTGGTTTTGCACATGGCTGAGGCACGAGAACTGCTTGAGCCAAGACGGTGCCACTGCACTCCAGCCTGGGGGGACAGAGAGAGACTTCGTTTCAAAAAAAAAAAAAAAATCTTCAGGATGTTTTGTTGATACATATAGATGGTAAATGTCTGAGAAACACATTACTACATTTTATTGAACTAAATATTAATTTTAAAAAGTTGTCAGCAAGCTTTATAAATAAAGGACAAGATAAATATTTTAAAGCTTTGCAGACCATGTGGTCTCCAAAATACTGTCTAGCATGAAAGCAGTAACAACACTTCATCAATGAATGGGTGTGGTTGTATTCCAATAAAACTTTTTTTAATTTTTTAACAGAAACAGGAAGCAGACTGAACTTGGACTGCTGGTTTTAGTTTCCCAACCACTGAGTTATATATATATTTCAAAAGTGAAAATATGTACGTAAAAAAAGAGCAACAGAAAAGTGTTTGGACCTTTTAATTCTGGGATATCATGTTACTTGGTTTGAATAAAAGATGGGACATAGCTTTTTGTCAACCAGCAGTCAGCTCCGATCTAATGTGATTAAGCTACCATAGAAAAGATAAAAAGGGTTCAAGCAAATATGATGTGTTTAGGGGCAAAGCTGCAAGCTTTGACTGTAGTGTCTCACAGAAATAGTTAAGTAGGTACATATCGTCTTATATTACTCCATGTTGGCATGTTTATAATGTATCCTACAGCTTTTACATATGTTTTCTGCTACAGTGTGGGTAATTTGTTTGTTTTAAAGTGCTACAGAGCTCTCCAATGAGATTTCAGATTTCTAACAGCATCTATCTTCTCTCTTATAAACTTTAGTACCGATTACAGCGCCAAACACATAATAGCTACTTTTACATCCTGATCAAGGGATTGAATTTCTGAAGGTGGGTGGACTTTACTGTGTTCTATTATAAGAAAGTACATTCCACCTCCTGGCCAGCATCTGAAAAGTGGGAGTTGTTGTCTCAAGGCAGGTTGAGTAAAAAGAAATATACATATGAATACATTCATTCCTACTATTAAAACTCAAAGCATTAATTCCACCTTGGCTATGAATGATGAAGCATAAAATACAGGCTTGAAGAATGATCATCAAGCAAAATTATGCTGAGCTATTGGGCCCAACTGCTCAGAACTGTGGGGAATGTGAAAGAAATCTAGAGGTCCCAGGCCTGAAACTCAAGGAATTATAGTATATTTTTTAAAAGAGAAAAGTACATGTAAAAACTATATGGCAATGTATAATCAAGATTGATTGTATTGTAGGGAAGAGAGAGCTATAGTGATTCAGAAAAGACACATATTCAAATTGATAGAATACAGCAATTTCTTTGTATGGGTCTGTGATACTGACATAATCAACATATTCGTCTGGTAGGTAAATGACAGTTACTAAATTACTGTAAATTGGAGCAAATCTCAATCAGTGTGTCATGGCATATAGAACCATGAATGAGTAATGGGCATGACACAGTGCATTCACCTTTCCTCCAGTGTTCAAGACAGACAAGTTGCTGTAGTCACCTATATCTGGGAGTGGGCATTTCCTTGGTGCCTTGATGATTGCCTGAGTGGAACAGAGTCAAATGACATACCTCAGGGGCCCTTAGGTGTTAACTTGGAGCCCTTGTTAGGACCTCGGTTATTGAAAAAGATAAACAACATACAACTCTCATTGCTTTTTCCTTGAGGAGGTAAGCATGGCCAAGGATGTGCTGTACCACCTGAATGTTGTCCTCTTTAGCAAGAGCTGAAGAACATCCTTCTACACAACTTTGACTGTTGCTTATAAGGCATTGGTTGTTAAATGCTTGGACTCTCATACATTTACCGTCCTTGGTTTAAATACCACTTCTACAACACACTAAATGGGTAAAGTCAAATTCACCTCTTTAAGCTTTAATTTCTCTTAGTCCTTTCCTGCTGCTATATAATACAACATCATAAACTGGGTAATTTATAAACAACAGAAATTTATTTCTCAGAATTCTGGAGACTGAGAAGTCCAAAATCATGGTATCTGGTGTGGGTCCACCTCTCCTTACAATATAACTCCTTGTCCTGCAACCTCACATGGCATAAGAGAAGACAGGCAAAAGAAACTAATGCTGTGTGCTCACGTAGTGGAAGATAGAGAAGGCGCAGGCAGCTCCCTTAAGCCTCTTTCATAAAGGCATTAATGCCATTCATGAAGGGAGAGTCCTCATGACTTAATCACTTCCCAGAAGGCCCCATATCTTAATACCATCGTGTTAGGGTATAAGTTCCAACATATGAATTTTGGAAGAGACACATCCATTCAAACTATAGTAATTTCCTTATCTGTAAAATGGGATAGATAAAAGTACATACCTTATAAAGTTCCTATAATGATGGAACAGGGATATGTATATGTGTTTAGCACAGTCCCTGACATGTAGAAAACTCTCAGTACAGGTAAGAATTCCTATCATCACTGTCATTGTCTTTATTGTCATTGTAATCGTTGTAATCATTTTATTTTGGCAACATTGATATTTTATGGTCTAGTAGGTTGAGCACCAAATGTGATAATTTACAAATTCTTGGGAAATCCTTATGAAGTAACATTACTTGTGTCTTAATTTTGCCTTGACATCATATTATCAATGAAAAATAGAAAATTATTTTCTACTGTGAGAGTGCATTAACAACAACAAAACAGGAAATTTTTTGTTTAAGAAAGTTGGTGGAATTGTCATGAGAGATTGGAGCTGTGCGCTTAGCATATTTATTGTATATTTTTGTATGGTAAATTCTGCTTGAATATAAAAGTAATCATTTTCTATTGTAAGGAATTTTATAAATTTATAAACATTAAATCTTTATAAAATATTTGTTGCTCCCATCAAACAAGTAGTACTGTATTTTCTAAAATTAATAGAAATTGCCTAATTCAAATAGTGATAACTCCCATGTCCCCTTTTCAAAATTGAATTCAAATATGTGTTCAAGAAAAAACTAATTTTTCTTTTCATATTTCCATTTAACCTTTGTTAGCATAATTGATCCCAAAATGTTTTGATTAGAAAATAAGATTTGAATGTCATGCTAATAAGATAAAAGGAAACCTGACTGCTTTTTTTTTTTTTTTTTTTTTTTTTTTTGAGACGGAGTCTCGTTCTGTCGCCCAGGCGGGAGTGCTGTGGCGCGATCTCCGCTCACTGCAAGCTCCGCCTTCCGGGTTCACGCCATTCTCCTGCCTCAGCCTCCCGAGTAGCTGGGACTACAGGCGCCCGCCACTGCGCCCGGCTAATTTTTTGTATTTTTAGTAGAGACGGGGTTTCACCGTGGTCTCGATCTCCTGACCTCGTGATCCGCCCGCCTCGGCCTCCCAAAGTGCTGGGATTACAGGCGTGAGCCACCGCGCCCGGCCACCTGACTGCTTTTGTGGAAAGATGACAACTGGTAACATTTACTACCCCTGAAAATTAATCTAGATTATTTTAAAATAATGGCAATATGTAGAAAATGAGAGTATTTGTAGTAATACACTGCTTCCATCAGGAAATCAACCTTTGAAATAAATTTGTTTCTAATATACCATTAAATTTGACAAAAATCTACATCATATTATCAATGAAAATTATTTTAAATCTAACTCTTAAAAATAATTTTTAATTTATTCAGTAGAAATTGTATGCATATAAGGTAACTATACATTCTTAACACACTCATTCTAAGTATAGCCTCCATTTATGTGACATTTAACTTTTTACTTGTGATAATAGTAATAACAAGATGGTAGGTAATTTAATAAAGCATTTACAATTGCCATTCCCCACACTAAACACTTCATTTATGTTGCCTTATTTGACCTTCACAGCTACCTCATGAGGGAAGTGCTGATATTGTATCTCTTTATGGAAAAGAAAACTTGATGGAAGAGAAAAGTACCCATTAATCAAGTTAACACAAATCACAAGAGGTAGAAATAGGATATAAACATAAACTGCATGAATCTAAGCATATGGCTATTGATCACTAACACACTGTCTCTAGCTACTCCCACTCTTCCTCCTCCTAAAAAATCCAATTCTTTAGAATCAGCAATAGAACTTGAAAGACCTGTTGAAAAAATCAGAAAGGTTTATGGACTGCCATGTGAAAATAAAAGACTTTAATAAAGAAGTTGGTATTTTGAAAGACAGTGGCTTAAATCTAACACATGCTTAACTTGTCTAAAATATCTACAAGTAAAAATGAAGGGATCTGGTCCACCTGATGCCAGAACTAAGAGATGCTTTTTTTTCTGCTTGCAAAAGTGACCATAGACTGCCTAAGCTAGATATATTTCCCAACAGTTTAACATTCATGCTGAGTAGACGAAAAAAAAATTAAGTGTTATGTCAACCAAATACAAGCACAAGCACACTCTACATATTCTGCTCTCATGCTATGTTTAATAAAATACATTTTGCGTTCGTAAACTTTGATCAATTAGCATTGTATTACTGCAGGGAATGGGAATGTCATGTTAGATAAATGTTGGCACCTGCTTATTAGAAATATTAAACTTGATATAAGAGACGGAATTTTTCTTTATCAAAGGACTCCTGCAAGTTTTCATTCTTAGTGTATTTTAGATTCTTATGTTAAAAAGAAAGCAAGCTAGTCTTGAGGTGATTGTCACTTAATAGTTCATACACAAAAAATAGGTGTTTTAGGGTTTTTTTTTTGTTTTTTTGTTTTGTTTTGTTTTGTTTTGTTTTTTTGGTGAAACAGAATCCGAATATCAACTGATGCTTAGAACGTAACAGCATACAACTACAGCTCCCCTTCCCTTGGTAGCACTTTCTTTTCATCCTTTGTTTTATGCATTTCTTTACATAGACCTATTTAAAGCATTTGGGATTCATTCATAGCTGATGTACATTTGTTACATTACTATTAATGGCATTCAAGACAAGAATATTCCCTCTTGTCAAATCCAAAAAGAAAAGTCAAATTGCTCTGACAGCATAAGAGAGACCAGCTGTAAATTTTATATTTGCCTAAATGGTAACAGAAAAGCAAATAAAAGGTCCAGTTCCCATTCCCTTGAAACAAGCCTACTGAGTTTTTAGTATTTACAGTGAAACTCAGAGATAGATTTTTCTCCATTTCCAGGCTACTGTTTCTATTTTTTAACAGTAAAAAATCATTTTAAATAAAAGAGTTGTTTTCTGTAGAAATTATTCTGCACTTAACCAGATTTCATTGGAGGCAGCTAGTATCTTTTTAGAATTGGCATCCAATCCTTACCTTTATTGAAGCTTCCAACCTATTGGAAAAAAAAAACATGTTTATAGACAAACAAGTGCCACACAGGTAAGTGTATGAACAGTGCCAACAGAATGATACAGGAACGACACGAAGCCAAATGTTACAAGGAGATCATATTTCAGTAGAAAGTAGGAAAACAAATTTTCTTAATTTCAGCATATACTTTTGTGAAAAAAAAAAAAAAGCCAGGAAATACGAGACTGAATGTTTGATTTCTAAAATCCTTGGCTTCCCTGTTCTTTTATGCTACCTGTATACCCAGGCTAAAGGAGAAGTATTTACTGGCAGCAAATTTCAGCATCTCCCAACAACATGGATTCCTATAAATTTCAAACACTGTGTGATACGAAAGAATGGACAGTATTGCAGGCATCTTTCCATCTCCATTCACATACTTTCTACACATACTATGCTTTCTTTCAGGTATGGAACATGTAAGCTAGAAATCATTTTCAGAACATTTTTCTTAGAAAATATCTTAAAATTATGTTCTAAAAATCTTCCAAAAAAAAAAAAAACAAGAAAGCAATAACAAAATGGCAGGAGTAAGTCTTTATTTATCAATAACACTGAATGTAAATGGACTAAACTCTCCAATCAAAAGACATAGAGTGGCTGAATGGATAAATAAACAAGACCAAAGGATCTGTTGCCTATAAGAAATACACGTCATCTATAAGGACACAGGTAGGCTGAAAACAAAAAGGTATCTCATGCAAACTGAAACCAAAAAAGAGCAGGAGAAGCTATACTTATATGAGACAAACTAGATTTCAAGACAAAAACTGTAAAAGTAGACAAAGAAGGTCACTATATGATGATAGATGTGTCAATTCAACCAGAGGCTATAACAATTGTAAATAAATATGCACCTAACACTGGAGCACCCAGATATATAAAGCAAATATTAGTAGAACTAAAGAGAAAGAGACTCCAATACAATACAATAATAGCTGGAGAGTTTAACAGCCCTCTTTCAGCATTAGCTATATCATCAAGACCGAAAATCAGCAAAGAAACATCAGACTTAATCTGCACTATAAACCAAATGCATCTGATAAATATTTACAGAACAGCTGCAGAATCCATATTCTTCTCCTCAACACATGGATCATTCCCAAGGATAGACCATATATTAGGCCACAAAGCAAGTCATAAAAATTTCAAATAAATTGAAATAATATCAAGTATCTCCTCTGACAACAGTGGAATAAAACTAGAAATCAATAATGATAACTTTGGAAACTATTCAAACACATGCAAATTAAACAACATACTCCCGATGGACCAGCAAGTCAATGAAGAAATTAAGAAGGAAATTTAAACATTTCTTAAATGAAAATGGAAACACAACATACAAAAACCTATGGGATACAGATAAAGCAGTACTAAGAAGAAAGTTTGTAGCAATAAGTGCCTACATGAAAAAGTAGAAACTTTAAATAAACAACCTAATGGTGCACCTTAAAGAACTATAATAGAAAATGTATCCCAGAACTTAAAGTATAATGATAAATACATCAGCTAACAAAAAACAAACAAAAAATTAATAGAAAAGTGAGAGCAAACCCAGAAGTATAGAAAAGAAATAATAAACGTCAGAGCAGAAATAAATGAACTTCCAATGAAATAAATGAAATGAAGTAATAGACAGCCATAAAAAAGAATAAGATCCTCTCATTTGTAACAACATGAATGTAACTGGGGAACATTATTTTAAGTGAAATAAGCCAGGCACAGAAAAACAAGCTGCATGCTCCCACCCATTTGTGTAGTATAGTGGAAGTTAAAAATTAAAACAATTGAACTCGTGGAGATAGGGAGTTGAATGATTGTTACCGCAGGCTGAGAAGGGTAGTCGGCAGGGGGCAGTGGGGATGTTGATGGTACAAAAATATAGTTAGATAGAATGAACAAGATGTGGTATTTGACAGCATAATAGGTGACTACAGTCTACAATAATTTGTTATACATTTTAAAATAACTAAAAGAGAATAATTGGATTGTTTGTAACACAAAGGATAAATGCTTGAGGTGATGGCTGCCTCATTTACCCTGTATCAAAATATATCATGTACCCCAATAAATATGTATATTTACTATGTATCCATAAAAATTAAAAATTACAATTCTTTTTAAAGAGTGAAAAACAGAATCTTATCTAACCCCTTAAGTGATTCTCCTTGTTTGCTGTAGTCTGGCACCCATGACTAACACCTTTTTTATTTTTTATTATCTATTTATTTATCATTATACTTTAAGTTCTAGGGTACATGTGCACCACATGCAGGTTTGATGCATAGGTGTATATGTGCCATGTTGCTTTGCTGCACCCATCAACTCGTCGTTTACATTAGGTATTTCTCCTAATGCTATCCCTCCCCCAGCCCCCCACCCCCGGACAGGCCCCAGCGTGTGATGTTCCCCACCCTGTGTCCAAGTGTTCTCATTGTTCAATTCCCATCTGAGAGTGAGAACATGCGGTGTTTGGTTTTCTGTTCTTGCGATAGTTTGCTCAGAATGATGGTTTTCAGCTTCATTCATGTCTCTGCAAAGGACATGGACTCATCGTTTTTTAGGGCTGCATAGTATTCCGTGGTGTATATGTGCCACATTTTCTTAATCCAGTCTATCATTGATGGACATTTGGGTTGGTTCCAAGTCTTTGCTATTGTGAATAGTGGCACAATTAAACATATGTGTGCATGTGTCTTTATAGTAGCATGATTTATAATCCTTTGGGAATATAGCCAGTAATGGGATGGCTGGGTCAAATGGTATTTCTAGTTCTAGATCCTTAAGGAATCACCACACTGTCTTCCACAATGGTTGAACTATTTTACAGTCCCACCAACAGTGTAAAAGTGTTCCTGTTTCTCCACATCCTCTCCAGCATCTGTTGTTTCCTGACTTTTTAATGATCACCATTCTAACTGGTGCGAGATCGTATCTCATTGTGGTTTTGATTTGCATTTCTCTGATGACCCAGTGATGATGAGCATTTTTTTGTGTGTCTGTTTACTGCACAAATGTCTTCTTTTGAGAAGTGTCTGTTCATATCCTTCGCCCACTTGTTGATGGGGTTGTTTGTTTTTTTTCATGTAAATTTGTTGAGTACTTTGTAGATTCTGGGTATTAGCCCTTTGTCAGACGGGTAGATTGCAAAAATTTTCTCCCATCCTGCAGATTGCCTGTTCACTCTGATGGTAGTTTCTTTTGCCATACAGAAGCTCTTTAGTTTATTTAGATACCATTTACCTATTTTGGCTTTTGTTGCCATTGCTTTTGGTGTTTTAGTCATGAAGTCCTTGCCCATGCCTATGTCCTGAACAGTATTGCCTAGGTTTTCTTCTAGGGTTTTTATGGTTTTAGGTCTAACATTTAAGTCTTTAATCCATCTTGAATTCATTTTTGTATAAGGTGTAAGGAAGGGATCCAGTTTCAGCTTTCTACATATGGCTAGCCAGTTTTCCCAGCACCATTTATTAAATAGGGAATCCTTTCCCCATTTCTTGTTTTTGTCAGGTTTGTCGAAGATCAGATGGCTGTAGATGTGTGGTGTTATTTCTGAGGGCTCTGTTCTGTTCCATTGGTCTATATCTCTGTTTTGGTAGCAGTACCATGCTGTTTTGGTTACTGTAGCCTTGTAGTATAGTTCGAAGTCAGGTAGCATGATGCCTCCAGCTTTGTCCTTTTTGCTTAGTATTGTCTTGTCTATGGGGGCTCTTTTTTGGTTCCATATGAACTTTATTTATTTTATATATATATATATATTTATTATACTTTAAGTTCTAGGGTACATGTGCACAACGTACAGGTTTGTTACATATGTATACATGTGCCATATGAACTTTAAAGTCGTTTTTTCCAATCCTGTGAAGCAAGTCATTGGTAGCTTGATGGGGATGGCATTGAATCTATAAATTACCTTGGGCAGTATGGCCATTTCCACGATATTGATTCTTCCTATCCATGAGCATGGAATGTTCTTCCATTTGTTTGTGTCCTCTTTTATTTTGTTGAGCAGTGGTTTGTAGTTCTCCTTGAAGAGGTCCTTCACTTCCCTTGTAAGTTGGATTCCTAGGTATTTTATTCTCTTTGTATCAATTGTGAATGGGTGTTCACTCATGATTTGGCTCTCTGTTTGTCTGTTATTGGTGTATAGGAATGGTTGTGATTTTTGCACGTTGATTTTGTATCCGAAACTTTCCTGAAGTTGCTTATGAGCTGACAGTGATTTTGGGCTGAGACGATGGGGTTTTCTAAATATACAATCATGTCATCTGCAAAGAGAGACAATTTGACTTCCTCTTTTCCTAACTGAATACCCTTTCTTTCTTTCTCTTGTCTGATTACCCTGGCCAGAACTTCCAACACTATGTTGAATAGGAGTGGTGAGAGAGGGCATCCCTGTCTTGTGCCAGTTTTCAAAGGGAATGCTTCCAGTTTTTGCCCATTCAGTATGATATTGGCTGTGGGTTTGTCGTAAATAGCTCTTATTATTTTGATATACGGCCCATCAATACCTAGTTTATTGAGAGTTTTTAGCATGAAGGGGTGTTGAATTTTGTCGAAGGCCTTTTCTGCATCTATTGAGATAATCATGTGGTTTTTGTCATTGGTTCTGTTTATGTGATGGATTACATTTATTGATTCGTGTATGTTGAACCAGCCTTGCATCCCAGGGATGAAGCCGACTTGATTGTGGTGGATAAGCTTTTTGATGTGCTGCTAGATTCGGTTTGCCAGTAGTTTATTGAGGATTTTCACATCGATATTCGTCAGGGATATTGGTCTAAAATTATCTTTTTTGTTGCTGTGTCTCTGCCAGGCTTTGGTATCAGGATGATGCTGGCCCCATAAAATGAGTTAGGGAGGATTCCCTCTTTTTCTATTGATTGGAATAGTTTCAGAAGGAATGGTACCAGTTCCTCTTTGTACCTCTGGTAGAATGCGGCTGTCAATCCGTCTGGTCCTGGACTTTGGTTGGTTGGTAGGCTATTAATTATTGCCTCAATTTCAGAGCCTGTTATTGGTCTATTCAGAGATTCAACTTCTTTCTGGTTTAGTCTTGGGAGGGTGTATGTGTCCAGGAATTTATCCATTTCTTCTAGATTTTCTAGTTTATTTGCATAGAGGTGTTTACAGTATTCTCTGATGGTAGTTTGTATTTCTGTGGGATCAGTGGTGATATCCCCTTTGCCATTTTTTTATTGCATCTATTTGATTCTTCTCTCTTTTCCTCTTTATTCGTCTGGCTAGCAGTCTATCAGTTTTGTTGATCTTTTCAAATAACCAGCTCCTGGAGGACTGACTCCTTTTTTAATGACAACTCCTGAGAGAAGATGAAAACCCTTTTCAATGACAATATTATCTCAGTAATAGTTATTAATTATCATAGAATTCTATTATTTATGCCACATATCATTTATCATCACTGTGCTTTTTTGTCTCCATTAACCTGTATGTTTCATGAAAACAGCATTATGCTTATATTTGTGCAGTCTACATCTAGTACATAGCACAATGTTTGGAACATATAGTTTAATCAACATTTGTTGAATGAGTGTATGTTTTCTGGACTTTATGATTGAGGTCTATTATTTATTAAGAAAACGTTTGTTCTATTTTTATAAGTGCCTGATGCAGTATGTTAGACAAAGAATGGATGAGAATGTTGAATAGATATAGATTATATCCACAAGAAACTTATACACAAATTTTATTAGATCATTATAGAAAGTTGCACCATATTTTGATAGGCCTATGGAAATCCCTGATTTATTTTTTCTGCTAAAATTAGGTAATAAGTTACATCCTTGAATAATAATTTTCTACACAATTTATAATTAATAGGACTATAGTGGGCATTTTTTTTCCATAAGCAAAATCTTGTCTCATTTTCTTTGTCCTTACTCAAAAAATAATGTGAATTTACACACTTGTTCATCCAAAAGCTTTTTTTTTAAAAAAAGGAATTGCTCGTATATTGTTTATTAACCATTTGTCCCTTTTAGATGCCATAAGTATCTTTCTCCAGAGGGTCACTCATCTGTTAACTGTATTGATCGTTCTTGTTATTCAGAAATCTTTGATACTGATGCAAACTCAATAATTTTTCTTTCTATAGTTTATGCTTCTTAAAGTCTGTATTAGTCCATTCTCACACTGCTATGAAGAAATATCTGAAACTAGGTAATTTATAACAGGAAAGAAGTTTAATTGACTCATGGTTATGTGTGGCTGGGGAGGATGTGGGAAACTTACAATCATGGCAGAAGGCAAAGGAGAAGCAGGCATCTTCTTCATAGGGCGGCAGGATGGAGTGAGTGCAGGGGATACCACCCACATGCCCCAGTTACCTCCACTGGGTCCTGCCCTTGACATATACGGATTATGAGAATTATGATTCAAGATGAGATTTTGGGTGAGGACACAGTCAAACCATATCATTCCGCCCCTGACCCCCACTAAATCTCATGCCCTCACATTTCAAAACACAATAATGCTTTTCCAACAGTCCCCCAAATTCTTAACTCATTCCAGCATTAACCCAAAAGTCGAAGTCCAAAGTCTCATCTGAGACAAGGCAAGTCCCTTCTGCCTATGAGTCTATAAAATCAAATCAAGTTAGGTACTTCCTATATACAGTAGGGTACAGGCACTGGGCAAATACACCCACTCCAAATGACGGACATTGGCCAAAACAGAAGGGTTGCAGGCCCCATGCAAGTCCAAAATTGAATAGGACAATCATTAAACCTTAAAGTTCCATAATGGGCTGGGCGTGGTGGCTCACGCCTGTAATCCCAGCACTTTGGGAGGCTGAGGTGGGCGGATCATGAGGTCAGGAGTTTGACACCAGCCTGACCAACATGGTGAAAACCTGTCTCTACTAAAAATACAAAAATTATCTGGGCATGGTGGCACGTGCCTGTAATCCCAGCTACTTAGGAGGTTGAGGGAGGAGAATCGCTTGAACCTGGGAGGCAGAGGTTGCAGTGAGCCGAGACTGTCCCACTGCACTCCAGCCTGGGCAACAGAGCGAGACTCCGAGACTCCATCTCAAAACAAAACAAAAGTTCCAGAATGATCTCCTTTGATTCCATGTCTCACGTCTCACATCCAGGTCACATTGATGCAAGAGATGGGCTCCCACAGCCTCGGGCAGCTCTGTTCCTGTGGCTTTGCAGGGTACAGGTCCCCTCTCTGCTGCTTTCATCAGCTGGCATTGAGTGTCTGCAGCTTTTCAAGGCACACGGTGCAAGCTGTCAGTGGATCTACCATTCTGGGGTCTGGAGGATGATGGCCCTCTTCTCACAGCTCCACTAGGCAGTGCCCCAGTGGGGATTCTGTGTGGGGGTTCCAACCCCACATTTTCCTTCTGTACTACCCTAGCAGGGGTTCTCCATGAGGACTCTACTTTTGCAGCAAATGTCTGCCTGGACATCTAGGTGTTTCCATACATCCTCTGGTATCTAGGTGGAGGTTCCTACATCTCAATTCTTGACTTCTGTGCACCCACAGGCTCAACACCACATGGAAGCTGACAAGACTTGGGGTTTGTACCCTCTGAAACAATGGCCTAAGCTGTACCTTGGCCCCTTTTAGCCATAACTGCAGCTGAAGCAGCTGAGATGCAGGGCATCAAGTCCCAAGACTGCACAAAGCAGCAAGGCCCCCAACCCATGAAACAGTTTTTTCCTTCTAGGCCTCCAGGCTTGTGATGACAGAGGCTGCTGTGAAGACCTTTGACATGCCCGAGAGACATTTTCTCCATTGTCTTGGTGACTAACATTTGGCTCCTTGTTACTTATGAAAATTTCTGCAGCCAGCTTGAATTTCTCCTCAGAAAATAGGCTTTTCTATCACGTCCTAAGGCTGCAAATTTTCCAAACTTTTATTCTCTACTTCTCTTTTAAACGTAAGTTCCAAATTTCAAACCATCTTTGTGAATGCATAAAACTGAATGCTTCTAAGAGCAGCCAAGTCACATCTTAAATGCTTTACTGCATAGAAATTTCTTCCACCAGATACCCTAAATCATCTCTCTCAGGCTCACAGTTCCACAGATCTCTAGGGCACGGGTAAAATACTACCAGTCTCTTTGCTAAAGCATAGCAAGAGTCACCTTTATTTCAGTTCCAAGTTCCTTATCTCCATCTGAGACCACCCCAGCCTGGACTTTATTGTCCATATCACTATCAGCATTTTGGTCAAAGCCATTCAACAAGTCTCTAGGAAGTTCCAAAGTTTCCCACGACTTCCTGTCTTCTAACCCCTCCAAACTGTTCCAATATCTGCCTTTACCTAGTTCCAAAGTCACTTCCACATTTTCGGGTATCTTTATAGCAGTACCTCAATCTGTGGTACCAATTTATTAGTCCGTTCTCACACTGCTGTGAAGAAATAATCAAGACTCGGTAATTTGTAAAGGAAAAAGGTTTAATTGACTCACAGTTCCACATGGGTGGGGAGGATTCAAGAAACTTACAGTCATGATGGAAGGCAAAGGTGAAGCAGGCACCTTCTTCATAGGGTGGCAGGACGAAGTGATTGCAAGTGGGAGAAATGCCAGATGCTTATAAAACCATCAGATCTTTTGAGACCCACTCATTATCACAAGAACAGGATGTGCAAAACCCTCTCCATGATCCAAGTAACTCCACCTGTTTCCACCCTTGACACATGGGGATCATGGAGATTTGGGAGATTACAAATCAAGATAAGATTTTGGGTGGGGACACAGCCAAACCATATCAAAGTCTTATTAAAGAATTTCTTTCCTTCCTTCTTTCTTTTTCTTTCTTTCTTTCTTTCTTTCTTTCTTTCTTTCTTTCTTTCTTTCTTTCTTTCTCTCTCTCTCTCTCTCTCTCTCTTTCTTTCTTTCTTTCTTTCTTTCAGTATTTCAATAGTTTTGGGGAACAGGAGATGTTTAGTTACATGGGTAAGTTCTTTAATGGTGATTTCTGAGATTTTGGTACACTCATCACCTGAGCAGTGTACACTGTACCCAATGTGCAGTCTTTTATCCCTCACCCCTCTCTCAGCCTTTCCCTTGAGTTCCCAAAGTCTATTATATCATTCTTATGCCTTTGCATTCTTATTCCTTAGCTCCACTTTTGAGAACATACCATGTTTGGTTTTCCATTCCTGTGTTACTTCACTTAGGATAATGATCTCCAACTTTATCCAGATTGCTGCAAATGCCATTATTTTATTCCTTTTTATGGCCGTATAGTATTCCATGGTATCTATATATACCAAATTTTCTTTATCTACTCATTGGTTGATGGGCATTTAGGCTGGTTCCATATCTTTGCAATTGTGTGTTGTACCACTATAAACATGCATGTGCAAGTGTCTTTTTCACATAATGACTTCTTTTCCTCTGGGTAGATATCCAGTAGTGAAGTTGCTGGATCAAATGATAGTTCTACTTTTAGTTCCTTAAGGAGTCTCCATACTATTTTCTATAGTGGTTGTACCAGTTTACATTACCACAAGCAATGTATAAGTGTTGAAGATTTCTGCATTTATGTTCGTCAGGAGTATTGGTCTGTAGTTTTTTGTTGTTTTTGTGATTTCCTTTCCTGGTTTTGGTATTAGGGTGATATTGGCTTCATAAAATGATTTAGGAAGGATTCTCTTTTTATTTTTTGAAATAGTTTCAGTAGAATTGTTACCAATTCCCATTTGCATGTCTGATAAAATTCCACTGTGAATCCATCTGGTCCTGGACTTTTTTTTGTTGTTGTTGGCATTTTGTTTATTACTGTTTTAACCTTGCTACTTGTTATTGGTCTGTTCAGAGTTTCTATTTCTTCCTTGTTTAATCTGAGAGTGTAGTATATTTCCAGGAATTCATCCATCTTCTCTCGGTTTTCTAGTTTGTGCATGTAAAGGTGTTCATAGTAGCCTCGAATGATGTTTTGTATTTCTCTGGTGTCAGTTGTAATATCTCCCGCTTCATTTTTAATCAAGCTTATTTGGGTCTTCCTTTTTTTGTCTTGGTTAATCTCTCTAATGGTCCATCAATTTTGTTTATCTTTTCAAAGAAACACCTTTTTGTTTCATTTATCTATTGTATTGTTTTGTTGTTGTCATTGTTGTTTAAATTTCATTTAGTTCTGCTATGATCTTTGTTATTTATTTTCTTCTCTTGGGTTTGAGTTTGGTTTGTTCATGGTTTTTCTAGTTCCTTGGGGTGTGATCTTAGATTTTCTATTTGTGGTCTTTCAGACTTTTTGATGTACCATTTAATGGTCTGAACTTTCCTCTTAGCACCACTTTTGCTGTATCCTAGAGGTTTTGATATGTTGTGTCACTATTATCATTTAGTTCAAATAATTTTTAAAATTTCCATCTTGATTTCATTGTTGACCCAAAGATCACTCAAGAGAAGATTATTTAATTTCTATGTATTTGTGTAGTTTTGAGGGTTCCTTTTGGAGGTAATTTCCAATTTTATTCTACCATTATCTGAGAGGGTACTTGATATAATTTTGATTTTCTTAAATTTATTGAGGCTTGTTTTGTGACCTATCATATGGTCTATCTTAGAGAATGTTCCATATGCTGATGAAAATAATGTATATCTGCAATTGTTGGGTAGAATGTTCTGTAAATATCTGTTAAGTCCATTTGTTCTATCGTATAGTCTAAGTCCATTGCTTATTTGTTGACTTTCTGTCTTGATGACCTGTCTAGTGCTGTCAGTGGAGTATTGAAGTGTTCTGCTATTATTGTGTTGCCATCTATCTCATTTCTTAGGTCTAGCAGTAATTGTTTTATAAATGTAGGAGCTCCAGTGCTAGGTGCTGATATACTTAGGGTTGTAATATTTTCCTATTGGACCGATCCTTTTATCACTATATAATGTCCCTCTGTGTCTTTTTTAACTGTCATTGCTTTTAAATCTGTTTTGTCTGATATAAGACTAGCTACTCCTCAATTTTGGTTTCCATTTGCATGGAATATATTTTTCCACCTCTTTACCTTAAGTTTATGTGAGTCCTTATGTTAGATAAGTTTTTTGCAGACAACAGATTCTTGGTTGATGAATTTCTATCTATTCTGCCATTCTCTATCTTTTAAGTGGAGCATTTAGGCCATTTACATGTGATGTCAGTATTGAGATGTGTGTTACTTTTTAATTCATCATTCTAGTTGTTGTCTGAATACCTTCTTTTATTGTGTTATTATTTTATAGGCCCGATGAGATTATGGTTTAAGGAGGTTCTATTTTGGTGTATTTCAAGGTTTTGTTTCAAGATTTAGAACTCCTTCTTAGCATTTCTTGTAGTTCTGGCTTGGTGGTAGTGAATTATCTCAGCATTTGTTTGTCTGAAAAAAGACTTTATCTCTCCTTCATTTATGAAGCTTAGTTTCACTTCATAGAACATTCTTGGCTGCTAATTCTTTTGTTTAAGGAAACTAAATAAAGGTCCCCAATCCCTTCTGGCTTGTAGATTTTCTGCTGAGAAACCTGTTGTTAATCTGATCAGCTTTGTTTTATTGGTTATCTGATGCTTTTGCGTTACAGCTCTTAAGATTCTTTCCTTTGTCTTGACTTTAGATAACTTGATGACTATGTGCTTAGGTGATAATCTTTTTGCAATGAATTTTCTGAGTATTCTTTGAGCTTCTTGTATTTGGATGTCTAGATCTCTAGCAATGCCTGTGAAGTTTTCCTCAATTATTCCCTCAAATAAGTTTACCAAACTTTTAGATTGCTCTTCTTCCTCAGGAATATTTACTATTCTTATGTTTGGTTGTTTAACATAATCCCAAGTTTCTTTGAGGCTTTATTCTTTTAAAAATTCTTTTTTCTTTGTATTCGTCAGATTGGGTTAATTAGAAAGCTTTGTCTTCAAGCTCTGATGTTCTTTCTTCTATTTGTTCTAGTCTATTGTTGAAACTTTTCAGTGAATTTTATATTTCTCTAAGTGTGTCTTTCATTTCCAGAAGTTGTGATTGTCTTTTCTCTATGACATTTATTTCTCTGGAGACTTTTTCATCCTTTCCCTGTATTTGGTTTTTTTTTTTTAATTTTTTATGTTGTTTTTCACCTTTCTCTGGTATGTCCTTGAGTAGCTTAATAATCAACCTTCTGAATTCATTATCTGGCAATTCAGAGATTTCTTGGTTTAGATCCATTGCTGGAAAGCTAGTATGATCTTTTGGGGGTGTTATAGAACCTTGTTTTGTCATATTACCAGAATTACTTTTCTGGTTCCTTCTCATTTGGGTAGACTGTTTCAGTGGAAAGAACGGATCTCAAGACCCACTGTTCAGATTATTTTGTCCTACAGGGTGATCCCTGGATGTGGTGTTCTCCCCCTTCCCCTAGGGAAGGGGCTTCCTGAGAGCCAGACTGCAGTGATTGTTATTGCCCTTCTGGGTCTAGCCACCCATCAGGGCTACCAGGCTCTGGCTCGTGCTGTGGAATGTCTGCAAAAAATCCTGTGAAATGATCCATCCTCAGGCCTCCAAGCCATGGATACCAGCACATGCTTCAGCGGAGGTTGCAGGGAGTGAAGTGGACTCTGTGAGGGTCCTTAGTTGTAGTTTTGGTTAGTGTGCTGGTTTTCTCAAATGCTGGTTATGCTAGCAGTGAAGTTGCCAGGTGGACAGACTCAGGACTTCTGATTAGCCAAGAAGTTGCAAGTGGTAAAAGTAGCTGTTGTTTTCTCCTTCTTTGGAGCAGGGTTATTCAGTTATCACTTGATGTAATGGCTTGAGATCTTTGGCCTCTGGCCAGGGAGTGACACTTTCAAGAGAGCACCAGCTGCAGTAGTAGAAGTGGGATATAAGCTTGCCTACCTTGGCCAGGATAGGTGTTCAGGTTTCTCAGGTGATGGGCAGGGCCAAGTAGCTCCCAGTTCATGTCTTTTGTCTTTGGCTACCAGGGTGGGTAGAGAAAAACCATCAGCTGGGGGCATAATTAGGCAGGCCTGAGCTCAGGCTGTCTTTGGGTGGGGCTTGCTAAGGCCTCTGTGGGGCGGGGGGGTTGGTTCTCAGGGCAATGGAGTTATGTTCCAAGGGGGATTGTGGCTGACTCTGCTGCATCATACAGGTTGTCAGGGAAGTTTGGGGTATATCCGGCAGTGACAGGCCTCGCTGTTGCGCCCTGCCATAGGTCAGAGTTTATATCCAGGCTGCTGGTGCACAGGGCTCAGATCTTGCCCCAGGCTACCAGCCTCCCCACTGAGAAAGCAAACAGAATTCTCAGTTCTCACCCCTCGCCAGCTGCCTGCACCATCATCTGTGGCTTCTGTGCTCGTATCCTATCTGCACTTCTTGTTCGCCCCCCTGGATTATGCTCAGGAAAATTCATACTCAGTGGAAATTATTGTAAAGTTCAGCTAGAACTTTCCTTCACCCTGTGGCCCCTCCCCCATTCCACTGGCTGCCTTCCCCAAGGACCCCTGTGAAATAAAGCCAGGGATGGCTTCCTTGGGCTCAAGCTGGGAGCCAGGACTGCCTACGGGGCTCTTCCCATTGCTTCTTCTACTTTATATTTCACTTGGCTCTCTAAATCTGTTTCAACTCTAGGTAAGGTTAAATCCTTCTTCCGTGATCTGGATTTTAAGGTTCCCCAGTGGGGATGAGTGTCTGGAGGCAGATTTTCCCCTCTCACACATTGGGAACTAACAGTTTTCAGATGTCTTATGGAGTTTGCAGCAGCAAGCTTCTGCTTTCAAAGGGTCTGTGAATTCTTTTGGTTTTCCTAGTATGGTCCTGTGCTAGTTCTTGGAGCAAAAGTTCACAATGTGAGTCTGCACGTACTGTTCTGTCAAGTGGGAGCTTCACATTAGTCTTGTCTCCTATCTGCCATTTTCCTGCCTATCTTCCTAAAGTTTTTATATTCATAATACCTAATGCTTTTCCACATGTGGCTTGATACCTAATTGATACTTAATAAATAGTTAAAATTTTCCCACAACTAACAGATGCTGCCAGCATGATTTTGACAAGCCCTGGATTTCATCAGTTTATGGTTGAAATCCCTGACAGAAGCCCAGGGATAACCCTAATTATCTGTATTGTTGACTAAAAAGAGCAACATGCTTTAGGTCCTAGGCATGCTTGCACGTGGCAGAATTGGCTGTTTGAAAATGTATCTGACACATTCTTGCTCAGATGCAGAGCCGCAGATTCTTTTCTCTGGAGATGGGCCGTAAGGGAGCCTTGGGGAAAGTAATTATTTGATTGATGGATTACCAGACATAGTCAGCCTGTAGGCACTGAGTAAAATAGTCCAACTCCTTCCAAACATAGGCACTCCAAAGAAGTAGAATATATTTACTGTTATTTTGAGGTTTTATTTGGAGATTTGATATAGCAACAGTATTGCCTTGTATTTGGTGTTGTTAATTCTTTTTATTATTATTATCATTATTATTATACTTTAAGTTTTAGGGTACATGTGCACAATGTGCAGGTTAGTTACATATGTATACATGTGCCATGCTGGTGTGCTGCATCCGTTAACTCGTCATTTAGCATTAGGTATATCTCCTAATGCTATCCCTCCCCCCTCCCCCCACCCCACAACAGTCCCCAGAGTGTGATGTTCCCCTTCCTGTGTCCATGTGTTCTCATTGTTCAATTCCCATCTGTGAGTGAGAACATGTGGTGTTTGGTTTTTTTGTCCTTGCGATAGTTTACTGAGAATGATGATTTCCAATTTCACCCATGTCCCTACAAAGGACATGAACTCATCATTTTTTATGGCTGCATAGTATTCCATGGTGTATATGTGCCACATTTTCTTAATCCAGTCTATCATTGTTGGACATTTGGGTTGGTTCCAAGTCTTTGCTATTGTGAATAGTGCCGCAATAAACATACGTGTGCATGTGTCTTTATAGCAGGTGTTGTTAATTCTTGTATCACACAATAAGAAGTTTTTATCTGTCTGGTACTTATTACCTAAGTAATGTTTCAGCCTTGTACCTCTTTATGCCTCAATTCTGTCTTCTCATCAAGCTATCTGGAATCCTGATCATACATGTAGAGTACTGGTCATCAATCTATAAGTGTTTGTATACTTAGGTCTTTTGATCTCCTTCCCACCAACTAATTTGTAGTTGGAATTTGCTAAGCAGCGTCTGTCCTGAGTCCAGATCCTGCTAGTTTTCCCTTCCATGTTGCAGGACAACCAATAGGCTACTATTTTCTGAGTGGCTTAGACTAGCTCATTTTTCCTACATCAGTTCAAATTCAAGTTTAAATTTAATAGCATTGGCAATATTAAAATAAACACTGTAGTTTAATTTCCCTAGATAAAATAGTTAAGATAAGCTACACTATGACTTTCTAATAGTTTTAAAGAAAAATAAAGGCTATAGAATGTTTACTTTAATCTCTTTTGAGACTAGAATTTGAGTATTTTTCTTAAAATAGAGCCTAATATTTACTTATGTTGATTCTGTATTCCTTTTTCAAATCATAGGGATTCTTGTAAAATTTCTCAAAGAATATAAAATCTCTGGAAATTATCCTTAGGGACAGGGGAAGCAAGACAGAATAAAAAATAGAGGAATTTTAATTCATACAATCTATACTTTGCAACTTTTTGTATTGTTTGGAATTTTATATTGCGTATGTAGCCTCTGAACATTAAACATAATAGAAACAGTATTGAAAATGTTCCATACCTCTTCATCTTATTCAATAATTCATGCATTCATTCATTCAATTCATATTTAGTAGGTGCTTAATAAGTTCTAAGCCTGGTGAATTAAAGAAAAAGTAAAACAGAACCCCTGATATTAAGTATTTAACAGTTCAGAGAGCAAACATACACACACTGATTGTTACAGTACCATGTCATAAAATCTGAGAATCATTGCAATATGGTGAATAATAATATGGGCTCTCTTGTTATATTATCAGGATTTGAATCCTGACTTCACTATTTACTAACTGTATATTTTAGGAATGTTACTAAACCGCTATGTGCTACATTTACGCAATCTGTGAAGTGGGAATAATTAAAGCCCCTACTTCATTGTGTTGAGAAGGAGATTAAATGAGTTAGTATTAGTAAAGTATTTATAAACTACATCTGATAGAGTAGACAGTAAGTATTAAATATCCTGGAAGTACAAACAAGAGGCATTAAAATCATACTACTTTCTTAAAGAAGAAATTAAAGAAGCCTTCCTTAGTAGTGATAACTAAGTTAAATGCTAAAGAATGTATATATACATAAGGCTTTTTCAGGTGACAAAAGACAGTGTTTTGCTGGGCTAATTATTTGCTAGTCTCACTGTGTTTCAGAGTATCTGATCACTTTGCAATCTCCCCAAATATGTATGAGATATCTATTTGTTCCACATCCTCAGTAGCAGGTAGTATGTTCAATAGCTTTAATGTTAGCCATATTACCGTGTATAGTGTTTTCATATCATGGCCAGTTTTTATTTCTCAGATGTCTGGAGATTTTGAGTGGCTTTTCCATGTGGAAAGTCTAAATTATTATTCATTCATACATATTTTTGTGAAGTGTCTGTTTAAAATGTTTGCCAATTTAAAACTTGGATTGTCACCAATAAATGAATTCAGCAAAGTTGCGGGAAACAAAATCAACATACAAAAATCAACTGCATTTCTACAGAGTAACAATCCAGACTGCTGGAAGATTTCACTTGGTTTACTCAGTGTTTAACATTTATAAGTATGTTTTTTTTCTTTCAAATATCTAGTTATAACATTTTACTATGAAATCTGGGCCCAGTAGACAGAGCTGTAGGACAACTTCCTAAAGTCCCCAGGTGATGCCTTCACTCTCCATTTCACCAGCACACCTGTGGATTCCTGACAATGGAGACATTGATGAAATGTGCCTGTACTACTTTTTTCCCTTTCATTCTGCCTCCTTCACACACACCCTGAAACATTTTAATTTTTGAGCCATGATGTAGATAATGAAGAACTAAGCCAAAGTCAAATCATAAAGCCTACTCCTTGTGATGGAGGAGTAGAGATTGCATCATTACAGCTGCAGGGGGCCACTGAAGCTTATAATAAGAATTAAATGATGAGAGCAGCTCTTCGTAAAGATCATACTGGCAACACTGGGGAGATAAATCTGAAAGGGTTAGACTCATTTCAGTTTTTGAATGCTGAGTTTGAAATGCCAGAGAGATATATAAGAACCCAGGTCATTATGTGAGGCCTATAGCCTAAACATGACAACTTAAAGTAATAGTTGAAGTCCTAAAATTGAGAGGTTACCAAGATGGAGAAAACAAAAAGCTTGGAGTAAAAATACAAAAAAAAAAAAAAAATCTAAAATACTCAAACTGGGATGTAAATAATGTAGAGCAAAAAACCAACAAGAGTGCTTTGAGACTTTAAAATGTTGTCTCATTTTACTGACATATAGCTTATATATCATAAAATGTACTCATTTGAAGTGTAAAGTTTGATGAATTTTAATAATTCTATATAGGCATGTAACCTCTACCACATTCCAAATGTGGAATATTTTCATGACTCTATTTTTTTTATTCTGAACTCTTGATTCCCTGTACCAACCACTGGTCCCAGGACACCACTTGTCCTTTTCATGTTACCCTAAATTTTTTTAGAAATTCACACAAATGGTGTCATATAATATGTAGTACTTTGTGTCTGATCTCCTTCACTAAATTATCCATGTTCTTGCATGTGTTACTAATTAATATCTTACCCTTGCTGTATAGTATTCCACAGTGTGGAATATACCACAATTTGCTTATCTGTTCACCAGCTGACGGAGATTTGGATTGTTTCTGGTTTTGGTCTATTAAAATAATGGATACATAATATATCAGCATATTTTTAATTTAGAAAATACCTGGGAGTAAAATTGTAAGGTCTTATGGTTGTTGTCTCAGTTACTTTATAAGATACGGCCTCACTGTTTTTTAGAATATTTGATCACTTTGCAATCTCACCAAACATGTATGATAGATCTGCTTGTTCCACATCCTCAGTAGCACTTGATATGTTCAATAGTTTTAACGTTAGCCACATTACTGTATCTGTAGTGTTTTCATTCCATGGACAGTTTTTATTCTTAGATGCCTGGAGACTTTAAGTGGCTTTCCATGTGATTTTTATTTATTTGCATGTACTTTTGTGAAGTGTCTATTTAAAACTTTTGCCCATTTCAAACTCAGATTGTTACTAATAAACAAATGTATAAAAGTTGCAGGATAGAAAATCAACATATAAAAATCAGTTGTATTTCTGCAGAGTAGCAATGAACTAACTAAAAAGGAAATAAGACAACAATAACGTCTACAATATCATCCAAAAATAATAACATATTTAGGAATAAATATAACTTAGAAGGGGAAAGACGTATACATGGAAACTATGAAACACTGATGAAATATATTAAAGCAGACACAAATAAATGAAAAGACATCTCATGTTCATAGACTGAAAAAATTAATATTGTTAAAATGTCTGTACTACCCAATGTGATCTACAGATTCAATTCCTATCAAAATCTGAATGACATTTTTTACAGAAATGAACAATTCTAAAATTTATATAGAACCACAAAAGAATAGCCAAAGTCATCTTGATAAAGAAGAACACAGCTGGAGGCATCACAATTCCTGATTTCAAAATATGTTACTGAGCTACAATAATTAAAACAGTGGGATTCTAACATAAAGACAGACACATAGACCAATGAAACAGAATAGAGATTCCAGAAATAAACCCACAGATATGCAGTCAATATATCTTTGACAAGGATGTCAAGAACACAAAGTGTGGAAAGAATAGTCTCTTCAGTGAATGATACTGGGAAGACTAGGTATTGACATGCATAGTATACAATTGGAACCCTGTCTTACACTGTGCACAAAAATAAACTCAAAATGGATTAAAGACTTAAATGTAGGACTTGAAATTGTAAAACTTATTGAAGAAAGCATAAAGGAAAACCTTGTTTATGACCTTCTTTATTAGTCTTGGCAATGATTTATTAGATATGACACCAAAACACAAGCAAAAACCCCAAAATAGAAAAACTAAAAAACTTCTGCACAGCAAAGGAGACAGTCAACACAGTAGAGTAAAAAGTCAAGCTCTGTGTTGAAAGTAAATATTAGCAACTGTGCATCTGATAGGAGATTAATATCCAAAGTATGTAGGAAACTCCTACAACTCAGTAGGAAGAAAGCCCAATTACAAAATGGCAAAGGACATGAATTGAAATTTCTCAAAAAAACAAACAAATGGCCACGAGATATATGAAAGGGTGCTCAACACTACTCATCTTCAGGGAGATGCAGATCAAAAGAACAATGAAATATCACCTCATACCTTTTAAGATGACCATTACCTAAAAAACAGAAAATGTCAAGTGTTGATAAAGATGTGGAGGAATTGGGACTGTTATACATTGTTGGTGGAAATGAAGAATAGTGCAGCTACTATGGAAAACAGTGTGAATATTCTCAAAAAATTAAAAATAGAACTCCCATATTAACTAGCAATTCAATTTATAGATATGTAGCCCAAAAAATTGAAATCAGGATCTCGAAGATATATCTGCCCCTCCATGTTGATGGCAACATTACTCATAATAGTCACAATATGGAAAAAAACCCAAATATCCATCAGATGAATGGATTTGAAAACATGCAATGGAATATCACAAAGCTTTAAACAAGAAGACAATCCTACTCTTTGTGAACAGCATAGACAAACCTAAGTGATGTTAAGTATGCCAATCACAGAACAAATACTGCATGATTCCACTTATATGAGGTACCACAAATATTTGAACTCATAGAAACAGAAGAATGATAGTTGCCAGGATGGGGGAGGGGTAATGTGAAATTTTTGCTCAATGGGTATAAAATTTCAGTTGTGCTAGACGAGTAAGTTCTAGAGATCTGTTGTACAGCATAATACAGTAAACAGTACAGTATTCTGCACTTTAAAATATGTTAAGATATATCTCATGTTAAGTGTTCTTATGCACACACAGAAATACACTCACACAAAAGCACCAGGACATTTTTGGAAGTGATAAATATATTTAGTATCTAGATGGTGATGATACTATATATTTATATATATAAATTCATCAAAATGTAGGCATTAACAATGTAAATTTTTGTATGTCTGTTATATATACCTTGACAAAGCTTAAAAAACGAATATGACAAATGGCATACAAATAAATACATAAATACATACATACAGTTGGGATGTCTGTCATCTTACTGAGGTGTACACCAACATTATATTACTTTGATAAACTACATTTGGTCATGATGTATTATCTTTACATATTGTTAGATTCGTCTTGCTAAAACATTAAAGCATTTTGTATCTATGTTCATTAGGGCTATGTCCATATTTAACATAAGAGTAGTTAAGTTTTCTGTTTATCTTTGCATAGTTTTGTTCATTTTTATCCTTTAAAAAATTTATTCTAGGTTGTCAAATTTATGGGCATAGTGTTATTCATTATATTCTCCTATTATCCATTTAATTTCTGTAGGATCTGCTGTGATGCCTGGTCTTTAATTCCAGAAATTGGTATTTCCATTGTATTTCTTTTAATTTGGTCCTTCTAAAATAGCTTACATATTTTACTTATCTTTCCAAGAACCAGAATTTAGTTCCATTCATTTTCTCTGGTTTACTTCTTCAATTGTGTTGATTTCTGCTCTTAGCTTTATAAAGCCTTCTGTCTACTTACTTTGAGTTTAATTTGCCATTCTTTCTTTTACTTCTTATACTTCCTTCTTTTCTAACACAAATACTTAAAGGTATAAATTTCCCTCTAAAAACTGCTTAAGCTACATGTCTCAACTTTTACTTTTTATCATTCAGTTCAATACAATTCATAATTTCTTTTTTGATTTCTTTTCTGACTCATCTATTATTTAGAAAGGTGTGTTTTAGTTTCCAAATTCTTTTTAGTTTTTTGTTATTCATATTTGATTATATCATGGTCAGAATTCCATTCTTTTAAACATCATTGGGACTTGCTTTATGGTTCAGCATATTTGTCTATCATGTAACATACTGTGTGTACATGAAAAGAATAAATATTCTGATGTTATTGTGTTTGACTTCCATAAATACTAGTCAAGTCAACTGATAAGTATATTTTTTTTATTTTTGTATGTCTGCTGAATTTTTGCTCAGTTATATCAACTGCTGAGAGTGGGCTTTTAAAATCCTCAATTCTGATTTTGGAATTATTGATTTATTGCTTTATTTATGTGAATATTTTCTTCGTGCATTTGGAAACTCTATTATTAGAGTCATACACATTCATAATATTTTTCTGTAGAATTGACACCTTTATTGCTAGAAAATATTTCTCATTATCTTTGGTAGTATGTGTGTTTTAATATCTATTTTTTCATTAATATAGCCACTTTAGCCTTCTTATACTTACTATTTTTGTGGTATACCGTTTTCTATCCATTTGCTTTCTACCTATTTGTGACTCTATATTTAGAGTGCATCTCTTGTAGACAGCAAGCTAGGTCTCTTTTTTAAAATCCCTTCTTAAAATCTCTGCCTTTTGATTGAAGTCTACTAATATTAAATGTACTATTTATATGGTTTAGTTTGTGTTTTTCTTTTTATTTTATTATTTATTGTTTATTTTATTTATTATTTATTGTTTTATTTATTATTTATTTTATTATTTATTTATTATTTTATTATTTTATTTCCTATTTCTTCTTTTTATCTATTTCTCTTTTCCTGTCTACCTTTCAGTTTTATATTTTCAAATTTTATTTCTACTGGAAACATTAAAGTATACTAAAAAAATTATGTGATAATTTTTATTTTAACTCTACGTCTTTGTATTATTACTGAAAAATCAAGCATCTTTAACTTTGTACTTTCCAGTTATAGTAAATAGTTTATCACTTTACATGAATTGTAGAAACTATTCAGTCCTATAGGTCCATATATCCGCTGTCCTTTATGCTAGAGTTGGCAAACAATGGCTCATACACACTGTGCATGCATGTGTCAGGGATCAGGCGCAAATATGGACAGAGAGAATTAGGTGTTTTCTCTCTGTAACTTCCACTTCCTGGATTCCCTCATGCTGTTCTTCAGGCACAGTTTCCTCAGCTTCAGTTTTCTGACTTTCTGGACCAAAAACACCACAGTTTTCCCAGCAGTTATCCTGCAACAACACACACTGAATAATTGTACCTGACCCCAGGCTCAAATTCATGAAAATGGACTTTCACTTCATTTACACTCCCCTCTTTGAGTAGGTACTCACCACTAGATTCTGGAATCTTCTCTTCATTCTCCATTTCCTTCATATATCTCTTTTGGTATAATTTTCAGTTTTTTATTTGTTTTCTGCATTCTGGTAAGACCTTATTCTGTCATTACTGGAAAAAGATC